>NC_000007.14:149155349-149306864 GCF_000001405.40 Homo sapiens | reverse complement strand
GTTTTTTAATGGCACAGAGTAAGTGTTCAATAAATATTTGCTGTTGCTTCAAAAAATATTTTGTGGCATGCAAAAATTATATGAAAATCAAATTTCAGCATCCATAAATAAAGTTTCCTTGGAACACAGCCACTCTGGTTCATTTCTTTGGTGTCTGTGGCTGCTTTCCTGTTAAAAAGGCAGAGCTGAGTGGTTGCCAACAGAGACTATTTTGCCTATAGAATAACAAACATGTACAATCTGGCCCTTTTCAGAACAAGAGTCTGACTCCAGGCTTACAGCCTTAGAGTGGTGCCTGACCCATAGCAAATGTTTCATAAACGATGGCTAGTGTTGTTATTGCAGCAGAGAGTAAGCACGGCTCACTGGAGAGCCTAGAGTTCCCTGCCTCCCATTCCAGTTTCCCTGACTTTCTGGCCTCATTCACAACAGCTGCAACCCCAGCTCCCTCTCCTCCTCCAGCCTCATTCTCCAAGACCTCCAGGTAAACTCCTTTAAGATGCTAAAAACTACAAAGTCTGATACCACACTAGGGATTCAGGGTGTATGGGGAACAGGCATGTTTCTGCGTTGTTGGTAGGAGTGTACACTGATACAACCTCTAAGGAGGCACCTGGCAAGAACTTTTGAAATGCTAAAAGCACATAACTTTGACCCAGGAATTACACTTCTAGAAACTAAGAGGTCTATAAACACAATTGTGAAATGATGTCTGCAAGGTTATTCTGTAGCCACATCATTTTAAATTATAAAACATTAGAAGCAACCTAATTGTCCCTCATCTGGGGACTGTTAAATAAATTACATACAGCCGTACAATTGAATGCCAGGCAACCCTTTACAAATGGGGATGCTCTTTATGTACTGATAGGGAAAGATTGCCAAGAAGAAACAGAAAAGCAAGCAAGGAAAATGTGTTTCCGCCATAGCCTGCTACTGTTTGTAGAGGGGAAGAAAAGGGGAGATGACATGTTTGCATTTATGTCATGAAAAAACTCTAGAAAGATCTACAAGAAACTGGGAACATCAATTGCTTGCGAGGAGGGGACATGGGTGGCTGGGGACAAGAGTGAGAGGAGATACCATTGTTTCTGTGCCACTGGAATTTTGAACCATGTAGATATATTATTGTGTCAATATTTTCTTACCTTTCTAAAAAGGAAGAGAATGTAACAAGAACAAAAACTCACCGGAGCCTAGGTGTCACCCCTTCTGTGATGGGGTCACACCTCATCTCCTTCTCTGCCCCCTTCCCATTGGGCCTCTATGTTCCCACACAAACATGTACCTTTTTTCCTAACAAAAAGTAAATATAAAATACTAAAACACCCACAATATTTTTTAAAAATACTAGGAGTGGCCGGACATGGTGGCTCATGCCTGTAATCCCAGCACTTTGCAAGGCCGAGGCAGGCGGATCACCTGAGGTCAGGAGTTCAAGACCAGCCTGGTCAACATGGTGAAACTCCGTCTCTACAAAAATACAAAAATTAGCCAGGCATAATGGCGGGTGCCTGTAATCCTAGCTACTCAGGAGGCTGAGGTGGGAGAATCACTTGAACCCAGGAGGCAGAGTTTGCAGTGAGCCAAGATGGCACCACTGCACTCCAGCCTGAGAGACAGAGTGAGACTTCGTCTCAAAAAAAAAAAAAAAAAACAGGAGTAATATGATTCCCAAACCCAGTTGTCTGTATATTATAATAAAATACAAATTAAAAAGGACACATACTTGCAATGTCCAGGAACCCTACGTTAAATTTCCCAAAACACTGACTCTAGCATGAGTGTAGTGATTTGTTTCTTACAGGCATCCCCGCTGGTCTAAGCCTTGGGGACCCTGCCTTACTTGCCTTGTAGCCCCATCACCTAACACATAGCACATGACTCGGGCTCAGCAAATATTTCTGGAAAGATAAAGGCCAATCCAAGCCCCTGGAGGGACGCCTTCTCCCGCCAGCAAAAAGAGTTAGTACCTCCTGGGGCCCACAGCGTTCAGCAAACCCCCAGGAGCATCCACACAGAGAAGAATCCTGTGGGGTGGTGCCGGCAGCCTCCACGCAGCCCGAAGGAAGCTGCAGCTGGTTCACCGTGTCCTATGAGCTGTTCACTCTCCAAAACATCAGCAATTGACCCACCATGAATCCACTCAGGCTGCCATAACAAGACGCCACAGACTGGATGGCTTCAACAACAGACATTTATTTTCTCACAGTCCTGGAGGCTGGAGGCCCAAGATCAAGGTGTCAGTGGTACTGGTTTCTCCTAAGGCCTCTCTGTGGTGTGCAGGTGGTCACGTTCTCACTGTGTCCTCACACGCCTTTCCTCTGTGTGTGCCCATCCTGGTGTCTTCCCCTTCTCATAAGGACGCCAGTCCTCTTACATTGGGGCCCCACCCTAACAGCTTCTTTTTAGCTTCATCACCTCTCTAAAGGCCTCATCTTTGAATATGGTTACATTATGAGGTACTGAGGTTTGGGACCTCAACATATAAATTTGTTGGGGGGTGGGGGTGGTGGCTCACACCTGTAATCCCAGCACTTTGAGAGGCCAAGGCGGGGCAGATCACTTGAGGTCAGATGTACGAGACCAGCCTGGCCAACACAGTGAAACCCTGTCTCTACTAAAAATGCAAAAATTAGCTGGGCGTGGTGGCACCCGCATGTGGCCTCAGCTACTGGAGAGGCTGAGGCAGGAAAATTGCTTCAGCCCAGGAGGCAGGGGTTGCAGTGAGTCGAGATTGTGCCATTGCACTCCAGCCTGGGCGTCAGAGCGAGCCTCCATGTCAAAAAAAAAAAAAGGGAGGGGGAAATAATTCAACCCATAATGCACACAAAATGAATCTGGTCATGCTGTTGCCTTCCAGAAACTTTTCTTGGTTACTGTTATGGACTGAATGTCTGTGTCCTCCAAAATTCATATGGTGAAGCCCTAATCCCCAAAGTGATATTGTTTGAAGGTAGGGCTTTTAGGAGGTAATTAGGTTTACATGAGGTCATGAGGGTGGGGCCCCAGGGTGGGATTAGTGCCCTTACATGAAGAGAGACCACATCTCCACATCTCTCTCTCTCTCTCTCCTTTTCTCTCCCACTCTCTCTCCCTCTCTCCCCAACATGTTGAGGATGTCTGCAAGCCAGAAGAAGAGCCCTAAGGAGAGCCAGGAGAGAATCTGCCCACATCTTGATCTTGGACTTCCAGCTTCCAGAACTGTGAGAAATAAATTTCTGTTGTTCAAGCTGCCTAGTCCATGGTATTTTGTTTTAGCAGCCCGGGCTGACCAATACCGTCAACACAGTACTTTTTGTTGTTGTTTTGTTTTTGTTTCTGCTTGTTTGTTATCTAGCACTAACATTTTAAGATGGCAAGGGTAAAATGGGATTTTCCACATTTTCAATCCTCTCCAACCCTTTTGGAAAGCAATTTTGGCAATATTGTATTTATTATATTGACTCAGTCATGCCACTTCTGAGAATCTATTTTAAATAAATAAACACCCATGAAAAATAAGAAACCTAAGATTATCACTGTATTATTTTTAATTTAAAACTAGAAAAAAAACTCTAAATGTCTAGTAGTAGGGGAATGGTTAACAGCATTCACTTAGTGGAATGTTATGTTGCCATTTGAAGAGATCAGGTAATGTTTATGAAGCATCTCCTCTGTGCCAGGCTCTGTGCTAAACAGGATAGATGCAGAGATGAAGAACATGGTGCTTGCTTTCAAAGAATTTACATTTTAGTAGAAACAGACACAAAACACTCATTTCATAATTCAAATATTTAGTAAGCACCTACTATGTGCCAGGCATTATTCTAGGTACTGGGCATCAAGCAGGAACAAAACAACATCCCCATTCTCATGGAGTAGATAATAATCAAACAGGCAGGGCACAGTGGCTCACGTCTGTAATCCCTGCACTTTGGGAGCAAGAGGCAGGAGGATCATATGAGTCCAGGAGTTCAAGACCAGCCTGGGCAACACGGTGGGACCCCATCTCTACAAAAAATTCAAAAATTAGCCAGGTGTGGTGGCATGTGCATGTGGTCACAGCTACTTGACAGCTGGGGCAGGAGGATTGCTTGAGCCCAGGAAGTTGAGGCTGCAGTGAGCTGTGTTTACACCACTGCACTCCAGGCTGGGTGGCAGAGGGAGACCCAGTGTCAAAAAATAAATAATTTTTTTAAAAAGATAATAATCAAATAATTAATGTCAGGTGCAAATCTGTGCTGTGAAGACACATAAGGCAGAGTGGGGGAAAGAGAAGGGGCCCCAGCAGCAAGTAGGGTGGTATTTTAGATGGAGCATTCAGAGGTGACATCTGCAAGTGATCTGAAAGGAGCGGGGAGCAAGCCATGCGAATGTCTGAAGGGAAGGGCTCTCGGGCAGAGGACCAGCGAGAGCAGAGGCCTGGAAGCATGGCCAGCGTGGCCAGGTAGAAAGATGGGCCGTTTACCCTGGCCATGAGGGAGGCCCCCAGTGGGCAGTGCAGGGAGCCAGGGGAAGGCCTGGCTGTGGAGCATGATGTTTGAGGCAGGATGGTAGCAGAGGTGGCGGCGGAGGTGGGTGGCTGAGGCCTTTGGACGGGATTCACGCCTTGGAGAGTCCCTGAAGACATTTACTCATTCTTTGAGACCGAGCACAAGCGTCATGCTCCTGTGAGCTCATCCCTGACTCTCTTGACGGCCAGTCTACCCTTCTCCCGGGTTCCCACATCAACGTGTAGTCTATTTCATTATTGCTGCTTTGTATTGGATTCGAGCCATTCAAGCCCTTCACACATCTAACGCATGCACGTTCACACACATCTCAGAGCATGGACTCTCACTGCAGATCCCGCATATTTGATATATCTAATGTACAGGACTTAGCATGGAAAATGCTACTGAAATGAATTATTGAATACATAAACTCACATCCCCCAACTGCACTGTGATTTCATAGTAAAAGAGCAGGACTCTGTCTGGAACTCCTGCTCTATTCAGCAGTGCCTGGAACAGGTGATACTAACACCTCTCAAGTACCACTTAGATCAGGAGCGCTTTATGGGCATGAACCTGTGCAGTGGCACAGAACCCCATGCTTAGAAAGACCTGAGTTTGCTATCATGCTCTGCTGTCGCCATCAGGAAACTCATAATCTTACCTTTGAACTTGTGTTTTGCAGGTGAAATCCAATAGGACAATGAGCATGTCAGGAGCAGAGATGAGCACAGCATGTTCCTTGCAGCCCAATTTGCATATAGAGTGCTTGTGGTGCCCCATTGCATTCCGAAGGCCCACAATGCATGGAGTCCAGCAAGACCCAATGGGATATACAAGGTAAGCACATTCCATCTATGACCGAGAAAGTAGGGTTCTGACAGCCCAAGAGGTCCTACTTTCCTTTGGGACCAGAACTTGGTTCAAATACAGAAAGAATACCATGGTGTATTAGTCCATTTTTACGCTGCTGCTAAAGACATACCCAAGACTGGGCAATTTACAAAAGAAAGAGGTTTAATGGACTTACAGTTCCGCATGGCTGGGGAGGCCTCACAATCACGGCAGAAGGCAAGAAGAAGCAAGTTACATCTTAGATGGTTTGGAGGCAAAGAGAAAGCTTGTGCAGGGAAACTCCAGTTTTTAAAACCATCAGATCCAGATCTCATGAGACTTATTCACTATCACTAGAACAGCACAGGAAAGCCCGCCCCCATGATTCAATTACTCCCACCAGGTTCCTCCCAAAACACATGGGAACTGTGGGAATTACAATTCAAGATGAGACTTGGGTGGGGACACAGCCAAACCATATCACATGGTGTTCTGAGAAACACAAGCAACCAAGGAAATGTATCAGACACTTTCTTCCCCATGCTACTCGTATTATCATACATGTGCTAGCCAATTACTTACTCTGAAAATGTTGGGCTAGAAGGAAGAAGAGAGGGCAGCCCATGGCTCCTTTTCCGTTAGTCCTTTGCTCCTGGTTATACTGAAGATAGAGAGTGTTGGTAGAACGGGCATGGAGCAGGAAGTGAAATGAAAACAATGAAGTTAGCTTTGGGCAGTTTCCACGGTTCTTGTAAGAATGAAACGCATATGCATGTGTGAACTACAAATATTGTTTACTTGTGTGGAATCATGTGATTTCAGTGATTCTGCATCCCAGTAAATGCTCTTCTATTTGCATTTAAAACTATCCGTTCATAATACAAAGATGAATGGTACACACGCTCATAATGTTTTTAATTTTTGTTTTACATTAACAATTAATGTTTTAACTTTTCTTTACTCAGAATGACAGTAAAGAGCAAACAAAAAACACTATGATAGGTCAAAAGAGAGAGTGTGGAAGAAAGGAAGAAGCTTAGTATTTTAGTACCCTCCATGGTACTTTCTTCCTGCCTTTGAATAAGGGGACCCACAGTTTGATTTTGCACTGGGCCCTGCAAATTATATAGCTGCCCAGATTCGGCTCGAAGCTGCAGTTGCCAGTGCCTGGTGTAGGGCAATGATAAAGATGAGGATAGTAAGGGGTCTGGCTTCCATTCACAACATGAACACTTTGCATAAATGAAACAGCGGGCTCAGGACAGCCAACCGCCAACTGAGACAAACTGAATACCAGAAGGTCATTAAGGGGCTTTGAAAGAGGCTCTTGGCCAGGTGCGGTGGCTCACGCCTGTAATCCCAGCACTTTGGGAGGCTGAGGCAGGCGGATCACGAGGTCAGGAGATCGAGACCATCCTGGCTAACACGGTGAAACCCCGTCTCTACTAAAAAAAGACAAAAAAATTAGTTGGGCATGGTGGCGGGTACCTGTAGTCCCAGCTACTGGGGAGGCTGAGGCAGGAGAATGGCGTGAACCCGGGAGGCAGAGCTTGCAGTGAGCCCAGATTGCGCCACTGCACTCCAGCCTGGGCGACAGAGTGAGACTCTCCGTCTCAAAAAAAAAAAAAAAGAAAAGAAAAAGAAAGAGGCTCTCACATCCTGTAGCCATGGAGCAGTCTGTGCAGAAGGCTGGAAGGAGACAAGGGACAGCAATGGGCTGCCCAGGTCAGAGTCAGAGTCCACATGGGACAGTGGGACATGGGGTCCAGGATGGGGAGATTTGGATAGACAAGTCTGAGAAATGGGGACCCCACCCCCACCCAATCTCCCTGCACTTTCCAGATGGTAAAGCAGGGCTGAGGGAGGAAAAGCTATTCTGTTTTCTCCTTATTCCTGCCAGGAGAAAGTGGAACAGCTGCCTCTCCCCTGGAGAACAAGTAATAGCCTCTCCTGGAGCAGGACCCAGCCTCGCCCTCCTCCTCAAAGCTGTGCCTCCACTGCCCCATTCGTCCTGGCCCAGTGGAGAAGCACAGTCTCCACCCCAGGAGTGTCCTAGGGCCACTGAAACAAAGGACCACACACTGCGGGGCTTAAAACAATGGAAATGTATTCCCTCACACTTCCAGAGGCTGCAAGTGTGGTATCAAGGTGCGAGGAAGGCCGTGCTCCCTCTGAAGACTCCAGGGGAGAACCTGTTCCACATCCCTCTCCTCGCTTCTGGTGTCACCAGCAACCACCCTTCCTTGACCTGCAGACACGTCCCTCCAAACTCACTCCACCATCACATGATGTCCTTCTGCATCTGTGCCCTTCACATGGCATTCTCCTCTTACATGGACACCAGCCATACTGGATTAAGGGCCCATCCTACTCCAGTGTGACCTCATCTTAACTTACATCTTAATTATATCTGCAAAACCCCTATTTCCAACCTAGGTCACACTTACAGGTACTGAAGATTAGGACTTGAGCATATCTTTGGGAGGACACAATTGAAACCACAACCCCAAGCCAGCTGCCATCAGAGCAACATGTAGCTCTGGATCATCAGGGACAGGATGGATGTAAGCTGGAGAGGGCACTGGTATGGACACCTTCCCCCAGGACTCTGGATTGTGCTCTAGGAAGGAGACCCGGAACAGGTCCTAATCATCTACTGACATGGCTCCTCGGAGCTTGGGCATGACAATGGCCTAGAGTAAAGGAAGTGGAAATTCTAGAAGGTGCGGTAATGAGGAAGGGATCAGGAAGCTCTTGAGGGAGGGAACTTGTCTTGGTTGGCTCAGGCTGCCATAACAACATATCCATACACTGGGCAGCTTAAACACCAGAAATTCATGGCAGTGCTGGAGGCTGGCAAGAGGGCACCAGCATGCCCAGGTCCTGGTGAGGACACTCTTCCACCCTCACATGACAGGGAGTTCTGGTGTCTCTTCCTCTTCCTGTAAGGGCACCAATTCCATCGTGAGAGCCCCACCCTAATAACCTCATCATCTAAGCCTAACTACCTTCCCTAATGGCCCCATCGCCAAATACCATCATACTAGAAGTCAGGCCTTCAACATATGAATTTGGGGAGGGGGAGGCAAAATTCAGCCCGTAGCAGAATCCTAGAATAAATTTGCTACATGAGACAAGAGGACCTAAAGGACCAGAGGATCCTCCCTGCAATAGATGCCTCACCTTATTAAGGTGAGGGAGGCTCAGGTGTCTCAGGGTGATTTGTCTGTAGCTGGGGTTGATGATGGGAGCTGCTGTCACAAAACTGACCTCCCTGGTGCCAAGAGAAATGATGGGATTCCAAATTCAAGAGCTGTCTAGGATGTGATGTATTGGTGGCCCATCTTGATAGGACCCAATGCTGTTCTTGGTTCACTTTTACACTTCTAGGACCTTTGTTAAAAATGAATCATTGGCCAGGCATGGTGGCTCATGCCTGTAATCCCAACACTTTCAGAGGCCAAGGCAAGCAGATCACAAGGTCAGGAGTTCGAGTGAAACTCGTCTCTACTAAAAATACGAAAATTAGCTTGATATGGTGGCACGTGCCTGTAATCCCAGCTACTCAGGAGGCTGAGGCAGGAGAATTGCTTGAATCCAGGAGGTGGAAGTTGCAGTGAGCTGAGATGGTGCCACAGCACTCTAGCCTGGGCGACAAAGCAAGACTCCGTCTCAGGGGGAAAAAAAAAAAAGAATCATTTGGCTGGGCACAGTGGCTCACTCCTGTAATCCCAGCACTTTGGGAGGATGAGGTGGGCAGACTGTGTGAGCCCAGGAGTTCCAGACCAGCCTGGGCAAGGGCAACATGGTGAAACTCAGTCTCTACAAAAAAAAAAAAAAATTAGCCAGGCATGGTGGCGTGCACCTGTAGTCCCAGCTACTCGAGAGGCTGAAGTGGGAGGATCACCTGAGCCCTGGGATGTCAAGGATAAAGTGAGCCGTGATTGTGCCACTCCACTCCTGTCTCAACAAAGAAATGAATCAGTTGCTCTGACATTGTCAAGAATAGTAACAGTGGCTCACATGTCACCACCTAGTTATCATCCTGCACTGAGAAGAGTCATGGTGAAATTGACACATTTTTTCCTTGCTTAGTGAAGTAGAAAATAAGGGTGTGTCTTACAATCAATGGATCTTAGATTCAATGAAATACTGGAAATGTATTAACAACTATTATTTAAGGCAGGAAGTGGTAAAGATGTGCTGTTAAAATTTGCATTATCAGATCAATGACATTAAAATTGAGAATGGCATCACTTATGAAAACATTTTTATTATTCATTCATTCCACAAACGTAGGGGCTTTCCATGTGCAGGGCACAGTGCTGGACACTGAGGCCTCTGCCCTCCAGTGCTCATCCAGGGCTTGGTCCTCCAAGCCTACCTGGACTCTGCCTTTCTTTGGGACGTTGTCCTGGACTTCAGTCCATCCAGTACTTCTTTCCAGAACTTCAGAATGGAAGCACAGGTGAAAATCACTATATTTCACCACTGATCATGGGAACCTAGAGTGGAATATCATTACTGCATCACAGACAAGATCACAGACAGGGTAAGAAGGGGGAGAGAGGAAATTTACAATTCCTCATAAATAGTTCCTTATTTACAGAGATTGTAAGTGATTATGTAAATCACAGAGCTTCCAATTAAAACCAGCTCAAGCTACAAACATGAAAGTCCAGGGGCAGTGCCAGAGCCACCTCACTTGCCCGAGTGCTGCTCTCCAGGGCTTGCTACCATCTGCTCGTGTGCCCCTTAAAGTGAGGGCAATGGTAGAGACAGCACCGGCCTCTAGTCCTAGGAAGCACACATGCATTCATGTCAAGCACTGGGGGTTGAGTGGGGAGGAGGAGGGGGACAGGGGATTATCTGACAGCTGAGGATCTAGGGGATCCTGGCGGAGTCTGGGTCACAGCTGGAGCCCAGTTGTGGCTGAGATCTCCAGTAGCTGAGGGGGAACTAATGTATCAAAATGGGAGGGTCCCAAACTGGCCGGCCACCATAAGGGCCTGCCTGAAAAGCCCAAGGGACTGGCCTAAATCTTCAGATGGTGGCGGGGCCGCCAGGATCTCAGGGGGGCTTCTCAGCTGCTGGCAGGCCATGTCCAGGTTTCCTACCTCCCTTCTGCTCAACCTTTAGGTGCTTCTGCAACATTTACTGCAGCCCATGCTGCCTGCTGTTGTCTGTGTGTCCTCTGCCAGGTGCCACCATTGATGTCAGATACCCTTCCCAGCCCCACAGCTAGGAACCAGGCCTGTCTTTGTATCCCAGTGGCTGGCACACGTTGGATCCTCAGAAAGCCCCCTTTGCCTGCCTGCTCCAACAATGGCTTGAAGACAAATATTACACCAACTGGGCAGGGCGCTGTGAGGGCCAAGATGGCTGGTCCTGAGCACTGGGCCACAGCCAGCCCAGGCCCTTCCGGGACACATGGCCCACAAAGCTGCCTTTCCCAGGTAATGGGGAGCAAGGGGGAGACAGAAGTCAGGGAAAGTTTCCATGAAATCTTACAACTCACCAAGGCTGTTGGATTCGCATCTGAGGGACGCTTGGGCTCAGCCTATTAAACAGGAGGCTGGGTCTGGCCTGGACTCCGTCCAAGGCCTCCTGCCACCACCGCCCACCCTAGGAAGCACTTTAGAATCTTCACAGTCAGCATCCAGGAAACCAACGGCTATGGCTAAGAGTGAGCACCTTGGATGTCCCTTCAAAGCACTGAGTAATTACGTCTCCTAACTTGGACCTTTGTCTCTGAAAATCACTCGCCTAATAGAACAAGGCAAAGCCAGCCACTCCTGCGCACCCCATCTCCAAGCCCAGGCCTTCCCCTCAGTGAGGCTCAGGTGTTTGGGACTGGCCTCTATCCCAGCCGCCTCCCTGCAACGAGAAGGCCCATGGGCAATCTCAGTGCCTGGGAGAACAGCCCTCCCCCGGGAAGCCAAGACCATGGCCAGAATACTTTGACCTGGCCAAGAAGTGGCCCCCAGGAGAGGTTGCTCAGATTTAAGGGGCACCAACTGCCCCTGGGCCCTCAGAGCCCCTTTAGGGAGCTCTCTGGGTGCTACCCACATTCTCCATCTTCACGCGAGAAAGAGAACTGGGCAAGGGACCCCCACCCAAGACCTTCCTGATCACCACTGCCCCGCTGCCTGTCCCCAGGGCACCTCCTGAGGCCCAGCTCTGTACCAGTGCCCTCAAATCTGAGTGCGGCAGAAGGATTACTAGGGGTGCTCCCCCACACTGCACCCCTGAGGCCCGTGGGCGGCTCATCGGTCGAGGAGTCCCTCTCACAAACCAGGCAAGATGGAGAGGCCTGGCTAGCATGGCTGTCCTGGTGACGCACAAGCCAGGAGGGACAGGTGAAGCTCTCACCACAAGGGCTGCAAGGATAGTGCTTCTCCTGCGAGTGGCCACACAGATGACGCAGGAAGCCGGGCTTCTGCATGAATCTCCTGCTGTACTGGGCGCACTGGAAGGAGCGCTCGCCCAAGTGCACTCTCTGGTGCACGGTCAGGTTGGCCAGACGCGTGAAACGCTTGTCGCACTGCGCACACTGGAAGGGCTTCTCGCTGATGTGTGTGTGCCGGTGCTCCAGCAGCGTGGACAGGCGGCTGAAGCAGCAGCCACATTGCGTGCACTGGAAGGGCCGCTCACCCGTGTGCATGTGCCGGTGCTCCAGCAGCGTGGACAGGCGGCCAAAGAGCTTGGCGCACTCGTAGGGCTTCTCCCTGATGTGCGCGCAGTAGTGGGTGTGAGCGTCGACTGCTGGAGGAAGGTCTTGCCGCATTGGGCGCGGGTGTAGGTGCACTCGGCCACGTGCGCCCGACGGTGGCTGGCGGGGGTGGTCCGCTGCGTGAAGCTCTTGGGACACTGAGCACCAGCGAAAGGCCGGGGGCCACGATGCACGCGCTGGTGCGGCGCACTGAGCTCCTTCTGGCCGAAGCTCTGGCCACACTGGGCGCAAGGTGGGCACTGCTCCGTGCCCCTAGCGGCTGGCTCAGCCTGGCTCGGGGGGCCTGGAGGGAGGGAGGCCTCTAGCTCCCTGGGGTCAGGAAGCAGACCCCCACAGGTGCTTCCCCGAGAGCCCTCCTTGCCAGGCCCCCCTCCAGCAGCCCAAACTGGCTCGTGGCCCTTGGACCCTACCTCCAGACTCCTCTCTGCGGCCCAGACAGGTCTCTGCAGGCAAAGGACACAGAAGGGTATAGTGAGTGAGGCCTGCCTGCCACAGGCTCTGCAGCCGGGCCACCTGCCCTTGGCTCTTCTGGAGTCTGAAGCCTGGGGTTCAAGCATCACTGAAGGCCCCACTCTGGCCTAGCCTCCATCAGCTCCCATTGTCCTCTGCCGGGTTCCACCCTGTGCTGTTCCACCTAAGGCTCCCCCGTTCATCCACCTCTGAGCCTTGGCCCGAGGGTCCTCTCTACCCAGAAGGTCTCTGGCCTCCTCTTTGCCTCTCACCCAGGCTCTAAGCCCCTCTCAAGTCCCACCTCCCTCTCATGGAGCCTCCCAAGACCAGCGTGGTGACATTTTCCCCAGCAGCACCTTCATCTGGGCCGCCTGTGGCCACCGAGACACCCCTTTTACTATAGTTGAAAGAACACCTTCAGCTGTTTGCACATCGTAAGCATATGTGCTTTTTCTTAGAATACTGGCCATCTTTTGGGTCAGATTCTGAAAGGGCTCTCTGGCTGCAGACATGGAAGTGCCCCTTCCCACCGTGTACTGTGTCTGTGTTCGTCTTCTCTCTCCTGAGTGGAATCTGTGTCTCATGCATTAATGAGCCCCTGCAGCGCCCAGCACCATGCTGCCTACAGACAAGTTCATGAAATAAACAGGAAACAGGATCAGGAATAAAAGAATGATTTCGTGCAACTGCATGGGAGGACACCACGCAGCAAGCATACAAGATTCTGCAGAGACACAGCCAAGGCTGCGCACTGCCTTCCCTCAGGAGCCTCGCCCAGGAGAAGGCCCCACTAGAGGCGCTGTGAGGCCCCCCAGGGGACGCCATGTCTCCTAAGGCCCAGGGATACAGGCCTGAGGAGACATGGCCCAGCATGCCTTACCTGAGCACAGGTGTGCCACAGTGGTCTCCTGTGGGCCCTGCTGGCTCCTCCCACTTGCCCCTTCCTCTTGCTTGATCCAGGACAGAACGCCTGGGGACGTTCCAGCTGGCCTGCGTCTAAGGGAAAGAGGAAGAGGCCCTGAGGGCAGCAGGTGTCATAGGACATCTTTCCTCTCACAGCCTCAGTTGGGACCATGACACCAAAGAGACTCCCAACAGAACTGTAGGTCCCAGCAAAGGCACAGCACATCCTGGGGACGTGTGACATGGCAGTGAGTCAAGCCAGGGGAGCTTGGTCTGTGAATGACGGGCTGTGAGCTGTGACGGGGATGACCAGCCATCTTCCAATGCCATCCACCCCGCTTCAACACTAACAGAGCACTTGGTGTCTTGCTGGCCATGTGGCCTCCTAGACTCCAGACCTTGTTGCTGGGCCTCCCTGCAAGTAGGTGTGCCCTGTGGCTGGTCTGACTAATGGATGTGAGGGGCGCTGCCTCCTCCAGCTACAGGACCTTTGACAGTGGATTCGGCCTCTCTGTGCCTCAGTTTCTTCATCTATGATCTGAGGAAACTGAGAGTTGGAATAAGCTTAAATGGGTCAATGTTTATAAAGTGCACAGTAAGTACTAAATGTACAAGAAACCAATGTGTTTGCTTAAAGGGAAAGGCATCAACTAAAGGAAAAGGGAAAGGGCACCCCAACCCCCAGCCCATCCCCTTGCTTCCTTCAACAGGGCCGTGGGCATGGTCGCGGGCCATCTCGAACCACAGCAACAAGGCCTGGCCCCAGGAATGGTGGAGCGGTAGGCTGGAAGGAGCCTGGGCCTGTGAGCTGCCAAACAAGCTCTGTCGGGAGGGAGACCACCCCCTGCCGTGTGGAAGCTGCGGTTTTGGTTTTGTTTTCTTCAGTCTCTGTTACAGCAGCCAAATACAGATCCTACAGTGCCCTCAGGTGGGTGTCCTTCAAGGACTGGGCGACCTCACCAATCTGTGCCCACCTCTAAGGCCTATCTAAAGATCAGGGAATAGTTACTGCTCCTCTTCCTGCTCCAGGCTTGACACAGGGTAGGCACATTTTTTGTTAAATAAATGAATGAATGGAGAACATTCCAAGCCACCCATATCTAACAGCTGTCCAGTCGCTCAACGCTGCCAGATTTTATAGCCAGGGCACAGCTCACTTACTTCTGTCATACACGAGGCCCTTCTGACACAGCCACTCTGAAGACACCAGCCCGACCTGGCTGCCACACACCAGGCTGGCTCCACCATTAACCAGGGCCCTGGAAACCGTTTCGAGAGGAAATTGATCAAAATGTATCAACACGAAAAGATCCTTAAGACATATTGTTGAGTGAAAACAGCAAACCGCAGAAGATACGTAGTGTATATCTGTGTGTTCTTAACCCCTGTATTTTTCCACAGTACACACAAGTAAGTATGTGCATGAGAAAATAGCCTGAAAGGTTATGCAGCAGAATGATCCCAGTGGCTACCCTGGGAGGGGCCTGGGGTTGGGTGGGCGGCCAGCAGAGAGCCGCTTAGCTTTACCCATGACCTCCACATTGCTTAGTAAGAACATATTCGTGTAAGAATCCATTTGCATAATCAAAACATAGACACTTTCAATGGCTAGAGGCGGGTCACCTTCTGTTCAGAGGGATCTCTGAGCCGTGATTTTCAAACTAACGGCACCAGAATCACGGGAGGAAAGTGTTGAAAGTCCAGTGCCCAGACCCTGCCCGTACCTAATGAATGAGCAGCCCGTTTACACTGCTTCTAGAATTCTGGCAGCAACAGCCTGCCTGTGGAAACATCCAACAGATAAAGCAGTCATGCACCCACACTGTCTGGGGCCTGCACGCAAAGGGTTTAGAAGCAGCTTTTAGGAGTGAAGCCCAGTCCTTGGGGGTAAACAAAGCTCTCTCCTGGAGAAATCTGGAAAAGTTTACAGAGAATGGAAAACAAGAAGTAACTGCTAGAATGGCAAGGACTACCCAGACCGTAGGGCAACCCTAATCCCCTGAGCAGGTCTCATTCCTCCACCCACCACGCTTCCTTGAGCTGCCTTCAGGTGCAAGCCCAGCCTCATGGCAGAGCCGTGCCTGCAGCTCTTTGGCCAGGCCCTGCCTGCTGCTTTGCATCCCCCTAGGAGCTGCTCAGCCCTGGGGACTGTGGCACCGGCCACAGCCTCTGAACATGCCCCAGTCCTGCCCACACCTGCTGCAGGGGGCCAGCCCAAGACGGGGGTGGCTGCAGTGCCTGGGCTCAGCTCCCCTCCCTGCACCACAGGGGAGGAGCTGTTGGCCAGGCTGCTGCTGTAATAGCGCTCAGTGACACCACAAGAGCCACGTTCAGTGACACCACAAGAGCCACGCTCAGTGACACCACAAGAGCCACGCTCTGCCCAGCTGGCCTCTCGCTCAGGGCTCCCCAGCTTGGGCTATGTGACCTGCATCCTGCCACACCCCACCCCTTACTCAACCCTGCTCTCTCTCTGGTGCCCCTGCCCCCTGCAGGTGCCTGGAAATGCCACTTTTAGCCTTGGACCTACATGCCAGCCACTCAGTACCCCTGTCAACCCCCACCTTCTTCCCCACTCTGGGCTCACTGTGACTTAATTTACCTACTCAAAGAGTCTGCTTCACAGGGGAGCCTTCCTCCCCAAATCTAAGAATCTAGAAAGCAAGCAGCAGTATCTTGGCATGATCCACTGTGTTCTGAGCAACCAGCTCCAGGGTTCCTGTCCTTCAACTAGAATGGTCCCATTGTCCCCATGTTATATGTTTCTGGTTGTCACTGGAATAAAGGGTTCTCACCTTTAAAAAAAAAAAAAAACTGCATTCTGATCCAATGCTATTATTTGAAAAATGGAGGAAACTGAGCTTCTATTCTGGTTCACTGTTCATTTAGTAATTATATATTATTTATAATCTCAGTACATGCCAGGCACTGTGTAAGGTGCTAGAGGAGGGGGATAACACAGCAAGACTCAGTCCCTTCACCCAAGGAGAGTGAAGCCTGGAGAGGAAGCAGGGATTAGGCTGCAAAGTGAGGAGGACATGCACGCAGGCACCAAGGGCCCTGGGAGCAGATGCAGTGTCAGGGCAGGTCTCACGGAGGCCGCCAGCCCGTCGCTCCTCCCGGAACCCTGCATGCACCAAGACGGCCTGTCTCAGGTTCCTGGTATCTGCTATGCCCTCTGCCCTTCCCCTCAAGCCTCCAGACTGGTCTCAGGCCAAGCGATGGCTCCAAAGGGACATGGAGTATGGGAAATGGCCCAGGCCCTCTCTGGGTGTCAGAACACCCGGGTCTGGCCCTGACCACCAGCTGTGAGGCCCAGCAGTTCACTTCCCCCCACCTCTGCCTCTCTTTCTCCAAGGGGGCCTTCTGACACCAGATGCCCTTACCAGATGCAGGTGGAGAGGCCCAGGCCCACACCCTGAGGGACTCACCAGTGCCCGGGCTCTGGCCCCTCTCCGCACTGGGCAGGCTGCAGTTGCCTGCCTGTCTCCTTTCTCCACTGGTGCCAGATCTGGCTTGGTGGTGGCCTGGCCTGTGGGGAGGAAAAGGGCAGTGGCAGGGCTGTCCTCTGCAGGCCTGGAAAGGGAGGGTGTTCTGCTAGGCTTGGAGCAGCCTCTTCAAGGCGTGTGTTGAGGGGCATGGAGAGTAGGGTGGGCAAGGCCTCTCAGTTTTCGTGGGCTAGAAGTGAGTGCCATGAGGCCAAGAGGAAGGGTTCCCATCCACTGCCCACATAGACAAGTCACCTAGTCCAGACAGATGAGGAAACTGAGGCCCAAGAGTGGGTCTGGCCATCCATGGCAGTCAGGCTCAGGCTTCCTGCTGCCCTTCCTTCCACGTGCTTCTCCTTCCTCGCCTGAGGCCGGACAGCCTCCTCACCCTGCCTCCCACAGCACACTGGGACCCTTTTCTGAAGGAGGAACCTCTGCAGCCAGGCAAAGAGAGGGAAGGCACTGTGTTCTGGGCCTCAGCCTCCCAACAAGGGGAGAGACTGGACAAAAAGCCAACTGCTCACCTGCCCAAAGCAGTGAGAATTCCAGGTTCACGCAGGAGAGCTTCGGAGTGGGGTAGCTACAAAAACCCAGGTCTGATCAAGTCTCACACGAAGACGCACACCTGCCTGAAGGAGCGAACTTCCCAGGCCTGGCCCTGATTTTCTGGACCTGGGGCATCCTTAAAAGCAGGCCTGGCCAAGCCTGGTGGCTCACTCCTGTAATCCCAGCACTTTAGGAGACCGAGACGGGAGGATCGCCTGAGGTTGGGAGTTCGCGGCCAGCCTGACCAACATAGAGAAACCCCGTCTCTACTAAAAATATAAAATGAGCCGGGTGTGGTGGCCCATGCCTGTAGTCCCAGCTACTCAGGAAACTGAGGCAGGAGAATCACTTGAACCCGGGAGGCGGAGGGTGTGGTGACTGAGATCACGCCATTGCACTCCAGCCTGGGAAACAAGAGCAAAACTCCGTCTCAAAAAAAAAAAAAAAAAAAGCAGGCCTACAATTCATCCTTCTTTGCTCAGCAGGAATCTCCTGAGAACTCAGTGTGCAGAGTGCAGCGTGGGAGTCCTAGAGATGCAGATGTAAACCAGGGGAGGCCCCAGCTCCCCAGGAGCAGATAGGCTGGTGAGCCACAGGTGTGCACGCAGGAGCTGCCTCTGGCACCACGCGAAGGGCAGGACAGCGAGGAGCAGATTCCAGTTTATTTACTCCAAGAAATCTGGAACAAGTCACATAACCTCTGCATTTCATTACATAAAACTTCAAAATGAGAATGACAGATACCTTCTACCTGCCTGAAGACAGAGGGCTGAAGAAATGATCTCCACATGCTTCCTGCTCTGAGATTCAGGAGTCTCATGTGATTGAATAAAGGAGTAAAACCAAGGTGTGGAGGCCCCCAGAGGCCAGCCTCTCACCCAGGAAGCTCAGGGTGTCGCAGCTCCCCTTCACAACACATTTGCAGAACTCCTTCTATGAGTCCTCCAGGCCGCCACCCTGCTGCTCTGAGAAATACCCGACCGTGTCTTCAGGAGTCACAGGCACCTGGAAGTACAAGTTGCCTGCACCCACCATGAATAACAACCATTTCACGGAGCAGCCAAAACCAACTCGTCCCCTCTCCCTTCCCCCGAAGCAGAGGGCATCGCAGGCCAAACTACTAAGCAAATGCAAACTCAACTCCATCACACTGCCTTCAGCTAAAGGGCAGAACCAGTGACTAATGGGATCTAGGATCGGGGCTCCTGGGTTCTCCCCTCTCCCAGGCACACATATCTCCTACTTGTGCCAGTCCTCACTCTCAGAGACCATGTACAACCACTGCTGCACAACCATATCTCTCCCAACAAACCCCATTCCATCTTCCAAAGCAGACATTTTTCTGTGTCACAATTTTCTTCTGACATTTTTCAAGCCCTTTAAAGTCAACTAGTGACTGCCTTGGACGCCCAGAGGTCAGGCTTCAGCAGCCAAGGGTATGCTGCTGTGGCGACGCTATGCATATGGCCACCCTACAGAGTCCAGGCAGGGCCTCTCCTCCTACACCCAGCTCCTGTACCTTGGGGGCCTCCCCCTTGCTGCCCGGGGGCAACTGCAGGATCCAGAAGTTCCTGTTGCACAGCAGGTTCTCCACGTTCCCCAGCCACCTCTGCAGCAGCCCGTACTCCTGCAGCAGGGTCCCCAGCACGGCCCACTTGCCTCCAGCTGGTTCCCGAACTCCACAGCCACCTTCTCGCAGTCAGCCAGCTTCTTCTTGGCTGTCCACATGCATCCCTCCAGGCTCTGTAGCCAGGCAGCCTGGGGTTCCATCTTCTTCTCCACCACCTGAACAGCAGCCACGATAGCCGGAAGGGAGATCTCTGCAGATCAGATCTGGGCCTCTCCCTGGAGGTCAGTCCGCAATGCCAGTCCTGCAACCAGACACAAGTTCGCAAGTCAGCCACCAGAAGGAGAGCAGCCCAGAGCCATTCCCAAATACAGGAAGGTCAGGATTCTCCGGAATGGGGGAGACGTCTTCTGAGTGCCAGGCGGCCTCACTGGTCAGACCCCCAAACAGACCCCACCTAATAGTCAAAGACAGCAGACACTGGACCGCACAAAGCCCCCACGAGAAGAATCCTGAACCAAGAGCCGGGGCAACGGAAAATGACATAACTAACATTACCATCATAAATGAACAGAGAGTGGATCCCAGCTCTACCACTCACTGGCTCTATTTACTCAGCCAATTACTCAACCAACTAGGGAACACGGCCAGCAGCAGGAGCCAAGAAATGGTGAGAAGCCCAAGTCCAGAACACCTGCCAGGGGACCTGGGGTCCAGTGCACACACACCCAGGCAGCAATCTGACTCCTCACCTTCTTCTAGAACAAGCCCACACCCCTTAGTGGGCTCAAGGGGAGAAAGGCCTGTTGTTCTGCCTTGGTGATTTCTAAGGCCCATCCACCCTGACATCTACTGGTGTGACTTCCTGCCCCGCCTGATACCACATCCCCATGATCCAGGTGCCTTGTCAACCAGCCCCAGGGTGGTCTCCACCCTCCTAGCTGCCAGGCAACAGGGGCCAGAGAAAGTTGAAAGCAGAAAAGGAAAGAACAAAGAAACATTACAAGGAATACCCTGTTCACAGGAGGTGGAAAATATATTGTGTATTGCTAGAAATAAAATTTAAAATCCAGGAATGCCTCAGCAGGGAACAGTTGAGGTATAAAGGGAGTGCTCCTGGAAATGGAACTCACCTAGAACTTGACTCAGTGCCTCTCCTGCCATCTGAATCCTGCACAACCTGAGGTCAAGCCACATTACTTATCCAAGGTTCTGTTTTCTCACTTATGGGGACATCCTAACTTCCTTCACTCCTAAGGTGGCTGTGTGGATGAAATGCACTGAAGATATGAAAAAGCACTCATGGTGTATGACATTAGCACCTGTTATATTCTTAAAAACAAATATAAAGGCTATGGACCAGTGATCTGAATGTGTTATGAACCAAAGACTGTGATTAATCCAATTCTGTGCAACTGAGTTTCTCAGAGACCTCCCCAATAAACGTACTCAGCAAAGCGTCCCACACATACCAGGTACCAGACACCAGATACCTGGCCCTTTCCTTCCCCACACAGCATGGCTATTCATCCTCAAGTCTGGCCTCTGTCTGATACAATGAAGTGGAGCTCAGAGGAGGCAGCACCGTCTTCACAGATTAGGGGCAAACATCCTCACCTCCCTGCAATGCCCTGCCACAAATGTGCCACCCGGGAATGGATCCAAAACCACTGCAAAGCTATTTATACTAGGAGATGGCCCCTCTACCTTTAAAAACCTATGAAAATCTCAACAGTTCTTATGCAGGCCAGCAATGGCCTAGGTCAAGCCTGAGCCTGAAGCCCCTAACCAAAAGTCCTCACAATGCAGATCCCCTCAGCAGCAGCCAGAAGGACTTGTCAGGGAATTTTAGAAAGAGTGGGCAGGCATCAGAATCCTCCTGACTGGAATCAGAGCTCAAGTCTAGAGCCCACCTCACAGCCAGGAGCCAGACTCTGGCTCCAGCAGACTGCAGCGGACATCCCTCCCCAGGCCATGGCACTGGTCTCAGCTTGGAGGGAGGGGTGGATCTTTGAGATGGTCGACTTGGGGGCGGTGCCAAAAGGCGGGTCCAGAAAGAGGAATCTTGGAGAGTCTGGAATGAAGACGTCCACAGTCCACTGTCCCCCCAGAGCCGGGTCCAGTGGATATCAGGGCTGGAGGGAACCTCCAAATCTTGTGTTTGCCAATCACCTTATTCCACAGGCAAGGAAACGGAGAGCGAGAAGGGCGTTTATCGTGTGGCCTTAGGAGTCCTTGTCCTCCTCCTGCCACCCGGGCTGAGCCCTCCCCAGTTCCAGGAGGTCGCCGGAGATGGTGGGGGGTGGAACATCCTCCTGGCGAATTCAGGACTCGGCTCCACGTCCCCAAGCCTCCATGAGGGTCGCCCTTACCGGAGGCGCAGCCGCCTCGGCCATGGCCCTGTGCTGGCCGGCCTGGGCAGGGAGTAGCCGCTGCCGTTACGCGCGGCCCCACACAAGCCCGGCTGCGCAGTCCTCTCCGCAGACGGCGTCAGCCCTGCTTTCCCCGCACGGACCGAGCTCGCGGGGCCGCCGGGGCTCGGGACACGCGGAAAACGCGTCAGCGCGGCAGCTGTGCAGAGACTCAACGGGTTGCGACCGGGTGGACCCCGCCCACATCCCGAAGCCAGATCCCCATTGGCCGGTGGTGGAAGCTCCGCCCCCCACTTGGCTGGCGCCTCCGACCCAGTGCCAGCTTTTCATTGGCCAACCCGGGAGGCCCCGCCCCCACAGCGTGCGCCGGGCCTTTGTGCACGCCCGACAGGTGCGAGCGCCCGCCCCGGGCTGGTGCCCAACAGCCCGCAGGTGTCGCCAGCTGCCACCGCCCCGCACGGCCACTCACCTCCCAGAGAGCAGAAACCAGATCAAGCGCACGCACTCGTTTATGCCAACAACTTTATTGAGCACCAATTAGGGCAAGGGACTACCACCTTCACAGTTCTCTTGGGCTTATTAACGTCGTGGCCCACTCATTTATTTCACAAATGAGGAAACCGAGGACCCTGCTGGGAGAGTTTGGGGCCCAACCAGGGCTCCCACTGAGTCTGGGGCACCCTCAGCTCCTGCACCACAAAGCTTCGGTTGACTTGTTTCAATGTAAAGAACGTTACTTAAACAGGTCTGAGTGCTAGGCAAACTCACAAGACCTAGCTCAAAGTTTGAGCACATTGGTATGAAAAAAAGAAAAAAGGAGAATCAGCACCTTGTGATATTTAAGCAGGGGCATTTGGCATTAGCCAACCAAGCCCAGAAAGTCGGCAAAATTCTTAGCCTGAGGCATCCCCAGAACACCTGAGACTAGCTCCTGCAGCTGAGGGTTAAACTCGTGCACCTGCACTTGCACCACATCCTGTCTGAGCTCTTGCTGACAGCCCGTCTCTGGTTTGTGAAGCTCCTGGCAAGGGTGGGGGGACTCCAGAGCAGACAAGCAGGATCCACAGCACAGAAGGGCAGTGCCTCTTCCCAAACCCAAGGGAGCCTGGCTGAACTGTCACTGACTTGTATACTCACTCTCCTCCCAGAGATGACAGCAATGCTACCATTGGCCCCCAACTCTGCTCAAGACTTTGGAAGAAGTGTGAGGGTCAGAAGGGCAAGGAAATGGCACATCCAGGGACCAAGACCCCCAGAAGCAGCCCTGAAGCGTGGTCACAGTGCCAGACAAGGCGGTAAAAAACAAGGATAGCTGGGGTCCCATCACTCCAGCTTCAGAGTCACCCACACCAAGGCTGCTCTACAGACAGCGTCCGCAGTGGTGTGATGAGAGACACCAGAAGCCAGCTGACCTCCAGACTGCCCCATGAGGCAGTCTGAACTGAGGCAGTCTGAACTTCTACAGTCCGAATCTCATGCTTTGGTAAGAATTTGTTCACCAAAATACAAAGGACTCCTGGGGAACAGAGCCCCATGGGCGACTCTTTCACTGAACCCAGTGGAACTGCCACTCACTCCAGAAGATAAAGGTCCTTCCTGAGGGATTCTGACAGGAAAAAAAGGCTGGAATGGAGTAGAAAGGAGGCCCTGAATTTGAAAGGAAGCACAAAGCTAGGCTTCATATTTGTCCCAGTGCCTGTTACTTTGACCCTGACAACTCTGAGGTAGGACACACTGGGGCCATGACCCCTTTGACAGAAGAGGAACATGAGACTAGCTGTGACTAAAGGATTCACCCAGATCTCCTAGCCCAACTCTGCCCCAGAGCCCAAAGTGCTCAAGGGAGAACTCCTTTGAGAGGAGACTGCCCCGCCTTTAATGTGAAAAGCAGGCCTGGAGGCCCAGGGTGGACGTGGTCCTCAGCCAGACCAAGGGCCTCCTCTAGTGGAGGGGCTTCCTGGGCTCTCTCTGCACTGCCCCTCAGGGTGCTTTCTGGGGTCCAGTCAATGGATCTTACACACCCATGAACACTGAGCCCTTGGGGAGACGTGTCCAGGCTTCAGTTTCCCCTCCCAGCTGACAACAAAAGTAAATAATGGATGTGACTATCCTGTGGGGAAGGACTAGGAATACTGGGAGTCACTCTGGGCCAAGAAACACACACATGGGGAGACACTGTGCCTCCAAGACAGCAGCCAAGACATCCCCATCAAAACCCACAGGCTGGGCCAAGAGTGGTGGCTCACGCCTGTAATCCCAGCACTTCAGGAGGCCGAGGTGTGCGGGTCACCTAACATCAGGAGTTCGAGACCAGTCTGGACAACATGATGAAACCCTGTCTCTACTAA
Source organism: Homo sapiens (assembly GCF_000001405.40). NCBI lineage: Eukaryota > Metazoa > Chordata > Mammalia > Primates > Hominidae > Homo > Homo sapiens. Next base: position 149,283,148 of record NC_000007.14, on the reverse strand, counting down.
AAATACAAAAATTAGCCGGGAGTGGTGGTGGGCGCCTGTAATCCCAGCTACTCAGGAGGCTGAGGCAGGAGAATCACCTGAACCCGAGAGGCGGAGGTTGCAGTGAGCGGAGATTGTACCATTGCACTCCAGCCTGGGCAACAAGAGTGAAACTCCATCTTAAAAAAACAACAACAACAACAAAAAAAAAACCAAAAGACCCACAGGCTGGTGGACGTAGCTCCCCTTTCAGCTCTGCGAGCCTCACATGGAAAAGCCGACTCTTTCCGACTTTGCAAAAGGCAAAGTTCCATTAACAACTACACACATTTACAAAAGTATTTCAAAGTCTCTATAAGAAGGGAAAAAAATTTCAAAATAGCAAAGTAGAAAACTTTCCAGGGCCCTTTCTTCAAGTCAGGCCATCCATCCACTCCACTCCACTGTTTCTCATGGTGACAGCAGGCAGGAGATCTCTGCACAAAACAAAAATCCCAGGTCCCCGATGTCTCTATCGCCCCCATACTGGAAGGGCCATGATCTCTGGTCCTCTTGGCTGTGGTACCTACCAGAGGCCTTATCAAAAATATGGCATCCCTTAAGCCTTAAGGCATCTTTTAGAAGTCAGGAATGCAGAAAAGGCAGCGAAGAGTGCAAACAGGAAACAGAAAGCACCCGGTCACACACAATGTCACCAGAAGGGCAGCTAGCTTCCCATTTGAATGGGTAAAAACAACAAACCTCTCTCCATCCCAGGAAAAGGAAGAACCTGCGTCAGGCACAGGGGAGAGACCCCGCCAGGGGTCCTCTGTGGGCTCCTGCCAGGTCAGCCCTCCTCCTTCCGGCTGGGCCAGGGCAGGGGCAGGCTCCCGTGGCGGGCGGGGGCGGCAGGGAAGTGTGGGCCCACCTGGCCTCGGGCGTGGGTCTGCATGTGCACGGCCAGGTGGTGGTTGCGGTTGAAGGTCCGGCCACACTGGGGGCACTGGTAGGGCCGCTCACCGGTGTGGATGCGCTGGTGCCGGAAGAGGTCCGAGGGCCGGCGGAAGGCCTTGCCGCAGTAGGGGCAGGCGGGCCAGCCCTGGCCATTGCCGGTGTGCAGGCGCTGGTGCAGCAGCAGGCTCTTGCGCTGCTGGAAGAAGCGCAGGCACTCGCTGCAGTGGTACATCTTGCTGGCTGCAGGCCGCCGCCCCACCAAGGCACGGCCCCCTGCCACGGAGCGGCGACCCTCAGGCTCCTCGGGGAGCCAGCGGATGACAGGGCCGGGTACCACCACCTCCCCCGGCTCCAGCATGGCCTGGCTGTCCCCGCAGCTGGTGGGCGAGCGGCCGGGGGCCTCCTGCCGCCCCTCCTCCACATGGGTCCGCTGATGAATCGTCAGATTGATCTTCAGGCGGAAGCTCTGCCCGCAGTCGGGGCAGGGGAATGCCCGCTGCCGCCTGCGGGAGAGGACTCGGGGCGTCTCCCCACTGGCCCCCGGTGGCCGTGGCTCCCCTGCCCGCACCCTGGGCATGCCCTGGGCCTGATGACGGCTGGGGCCCCCAGGCCTGTTCCTGGGCCCTCGGGGGATTCTACACTCGGTCTGGCCTCGGGACACCCCCAGAAAGAGCCGCTCAGGCGTCATCTCGTCTTCAGACTGTGCCTCTGTCTTGATGGCCACACCACCACCTGGCAAAGGAGTCTATGTTGGTTTCCAAGTGGACCTCACCACCCTGTCCCCCAGGTCACTCGGCCCAGTCCTGGCTTCCAGCCTCAGCCCGGGCCCTATCTCCCCACAGTGCTCACAGCACATTGCAGGGGTCCTGCTCACTGAGCCCTGCCACACAGGCACTGCCTTGCACGGTCACTCAGTCCTGATTGTTGTCATCTGCCTCATTCCTGGAGGCCAAGCTAAGGACATCAGGGGAGGGGAGATCAAACTGCAAGGCCAGGAGCCAGGGAGCCCAGAGGTCAGGGGTCAGCTGGAGTGGGACACAGAAGCAGAGACCCTGGGCACAGCAGAGAGGGTGGCAGGACCCCACCCCCAAGAGTTCTGGTGACATTAGTTACCATCTGTGAAAGACAATGAACCCCAGGGGCCCTGCATGCCCCCAGACCACCCTAAGAGGCCTCTGTGGACTAGAGGTGGTGAGTGCTGCACCCATGCTCAGCTGCTCATCCACATGACAAATCCACACAGAGCGTCCACGACCTGTCTGCCACTACACTCACTGGTGACAGAGAGGAGGCACTGGGACCTGAGATTCCTGCCTGGGTCTGTGTGAGTCTCACTCAACTCCCAGGTTGGGTGGAGGCAAGGAGCTGCTGGGACAGCAGTGACAAGGACAACCAAGGCAGTGGCAGGTGATCACAGCAATGTGCTGGAGACGTGAGACCCCAGGTCTCAGCACCCAGCTCTCAGGGGTCCCTAATGTGAGGGAGGGTCCTGGCACCCTGCCCTCTCAGGGAAGCACAGACTCTAGGCAGAGGGACACAGACTGTGGACACGGAGGGGCTGGGAGCCCAGCCACGCCAAGACCACGTGAACAGCTTTTCCATCATCATCGGACCACATGCCTGGGATCTGATGCCTGGGTTTTCATGCAGTGCCTTTCCAGCCAGGCCAGACCAGACCACGATGGGGAAAGACCAGGAAGGACCCCAGACTGATCTGGGTCCCCACAGTCCCCAGGGAGATAGAAGCTGGAGAGGGAGGGAGAGAACCCTCAGGAGGAAGCCCCTCACCAGGTCCCACCACCCAACCCCAACCCCACCCCACTCCCAAAAGGCCCCCACACTCCTGTGGGGCTCTGCTGCGGCCACAGGTGCCTCCGCCCTTCTTCCCCAGGCCCCATGCCTGGCAGGATGTCCCTGGTGGGGAAGGTTGGAGACTCCCCATCTAAAGACTCTCCTTCTGGCTTAATCAAAGATAAAATGCTGGTGCTCCGGGAGGTGAGGGGCGCCTCTGCCCGGCCACCCCTACTGGGAAGTGAGGAGCTCCTCTGCCCGGCCAGCCGCCCCGTCCGGGAGGGAGGTGGGGGGGTCAGCCCCCCGCCCGGCCAGCCGCCCTGTCCGGGAGGGAGGTGGGGGGGTCAGCCCCCCGCCCGGCCAGCCGCCCCGTCCGGGAGGTGAGGGGCGCCTCTGCCCGGCCACCCCTACTAGGAAGTGAGGAGCCCCTCTGCCCAGCCACCATCTCGTCTGGGAGGTGTACCCAACAGCTCATTGAGAACGGGCCGGGATGACAATGGCGGTTTTGTGGAATAGAAAGGGGGGAAAGGTGGGGAAAAGATTGAGAAATCGGATGGTTGCCGTGTCTGTGTAGAAAGAAGTAGACATGGGAGACTTTTCATTTTGTTCTGTACTAAGATAAATTCTTCTGCCTTGGGTTCCTGTTGATCGGTGACCTTACCCCCAACCCTGTGCTCTCTGAAACATGTGCTGTGTCCACTTCCCCACTTCCCTCCACTATTGTCCTATGACCCTGCCAAATCCCCCTCTGCGAGAAACACCCAAGAATGATCAATAAAAAAAAAAAAATTAAAAAAAAAAAAAAAAAAAAAACAAAGATAAAATGCTGGTGCTAGCTGGCGGCCACGTGAGAAAGACTCGGCGAGGGCCTCTCCCAACACCGGCTGCTGGACACCCGCGGCTTGCAGCGTGCACAGCCATCTCCCCAGCAGCCCTGGACGTGCGCAAGTCCCTGTCAGGGAAAGGAGGCCTAGGGCTTCTGTCCCGAGGGCTTCAGAGGTGAGACAAGAGCTACGAAGGCCATGTCCCCAACACTCCTGCAGGCCAGTGCTAATGACTTGTCCCTCAGCATCTGTCACCCTGATGAGCCTGAAAAGAACAGAGGGTTGGGAGGCTCCCGGACACCGTTCCAGGTCTGCAATGGGGCAGGAACATTGCCTTCCCACCTAAGAGGGTCCCATCTCTCCAACTCCATGAGCAGAGCCCAGACTTACACACTGGCTGGAAAGAGAAACCCAGGGAAGGGAGGATGATCCAGTGGGGAAGATACCCAGAAATCACCACAGGGAAAGCAACCAGAGACTGAAAGTCGGGCCAGCGGCAGGACCAGGTGGAGGAGCCAGCCCCGCAGAGGAACACTAGACAGAGAACAGAGCTCTGGACTGTTTGCAAGTGTTCCGCTAAATGCCCTGATATACACTTTTGTGAAAGGACAGGCAGGGACTGCCTTTAAATAAAAGCAGACAAAGAAGTCTGGAAGGATGACTAAAGCCAGAGTTCCCAGTAGGTCTTCAGAAAGAGGGCGTTTACTGAGAAACACCATGCTGGCGCCGCGCTAGGCACAGGACACACACTGCCCCGTGGATGGGACCCTCGTAAAGACCCTGGGCAGGCACAACACACCCATCTACCCCCTCCCCTCACTCCACCGGACCCATGTGCCCAGGCCCCCAACACGCAGAGGAACCCACCCCTCTATACAGACTGTTTTCTCACGCTGAAAATGCCAAAACCTACCTTCTTTTAGGCCTGTCTCAGGGGCCTCTTTCCCAGAAAGCCTGTCCGGCCCAGCCCAACCAGTCTCCCAGCCCTCTCTCCCAGCCCCATGCTTCCAGGGCTTTTCCTCAGCACCATCGCTTGGTGATCGCGTGCTGCCTCGGGACACTGTTCATCCTGCCGCCTCACTGTCCTCACTCACCTGCTTCTGGCCCGGCTGGGGCCACTCTCGCCTCTGAGTCCTGCTGCTGCTTGGGGGCCTGCCCTTCTTTCAGCTCCTCCTGGGCAGGGCTAAGTGGGCTGGTGAGGTGCTCTGGATACGGAGGGAGGCCTGGAGAATGTAAATCAGTGACATTGAGCACAACATGGAGGTCTCCTGCCCAGATGACCAGGGACCCTCTGGGGAAAGGCAGAGTCACTGCGATCCTGGGGCCTCAGCTCCAGCACAGGGCATGATAGTGAGGTGGACCCCACCAAATACCTGGCAGCTAGATTCCAGTCTAAAGCCTCATGTCCCACAGAAGGAAACTGCAGCACAGGAATTCAGCAGACAGGAAATCACGGTAATGATCGCCAGGCAGGTCATGACAGAATCTGGCATTTTAAGGCAGGAAAGAGAAACACCATGCCTGTCCCACCAGCCAGTGGGGTGGTCACCACCTCCCGCAGTCGGGCCTCCTCCTCCTCCTCCAAGCTGCTCTTATGGCATAGGGGACCCAAGGCAGGGCAGAAACACAACTGAAGATATGGCGTTAGGAGCGTCAAGGTTTTCCCCTCAGAAGTTGTCTTTCAAGATAACTCCATCCCTACGCCTACTTCTTAGAACCCGTGTCTATATACATGTTTAATCAGTGCCCGCCTCCCAGAGTGATCGTAACCAACCCAGCTGTTAGCAAGACTTTCAAATGGTAAAGCCCCGAAATGAGCACTTGTCCTCTCACACAAGAAATCAAACTCTGATTTTTTTTTTTGAATTTTTTTTTTTTTTTTTGAGGCGGAGTCTCGCTCTGTTGCCCAGGCTGGAGTGCAGTGGCGCAATCCTGGCTCACTGCAAACTCCGACTCCCAGGTTCAAGCAATTCTCTGCCTCAGCCTCCCAAGTAGTAGGGATTACAGACGCCCATTACCATGCCCGGCTAATTTTTGTATTTTTTAAGTAGAGACGGGGTTCCACCATCTTGGCCAGGCTGGTCTTGAACTCCTGACCTTGTGATCCACCCTCTTGGCCTCCCAAAGTGCTGGGATTACAGGAGTGAGCCACTGTGCCTGGCCAAAGCTCTGATTTTTTAAGCAAAAAAAGATGATAAGAAAAAAACTATGATGAGCAAAAGGCTGACAGTGAGAGTTGACAGAATGCTACCATCAGAGATGAAATCAGCAAATGGCTCACATCATTTGTCCACTTGATGCTAAGAGGAATTTGAAATTGGATGGGCATCAGATCAGAAGGGAACAGACAAGAAACCCAGAATCATGGAAAAAGTGGCTCTACCTCCAAACCTGGGTTGGAATTTACCACGCTGGATCTTCCTAAACTTAAGCATCCAGAGAACAATGCCTTGTCAGAGATAAAAGAACAACCAGACCGGGCGCGGTGGCTCACGCCTGTAATCCCAGCACTTTGGGAGGCCAAGGCAGGCGGATCACAAGGTCAGGAGATCAAGACCATCCTGGCTAACATGGTGAAACCCCGTCTCTACTAAAAATACAAAAAATTAGCTGGGCGTGGTGGCAGGCACCTGTAGTCCCAGCTACTTGGGAGGCTGAGGCAGGAGAATGGCATGAACCCGGGAGGCGGAGCTTGCAGTGAGCCGAGATCGCGCCACTGCACTCCAGCCTGGGCGACAGAGCAAGACTCCATCTCAAAAAAAAAAATAAATAAATAACCACCAAACGCCGAGTATGGTGGCACATGACTGCAGTCCCTGCTAGTTGGGAGGCTGAGGCAGGAGGATGGCTTGAGCCCAGGAGTATGAGGCTGCAGTGAGCCATGATTGTGCCAGTTGCATTCCAACCTGGGCAACGGGGCCAGACCCTGTCTCAAATAAATAAATAAATAAATAAATAAATAAATAAAAAGTAACCCAAGTGGGGTCCTGTCCACTCTACCTCAACTGAGGTTCTCTTCTAACAGAAGAGGTAAAACCAGCTAGAAGGTTATCAAAAGGTAAAATAGTGATGAAAAGTAATAATCCAATTGAGTCTGTGCCTGCTAACACTGCTACCGATTCCCCTTTACGTACGGGAGAGTTATAAACCAACGGGTTACACTGCCCCTAAAAATGTTGCTTTCATGACAAGCCTAAAGACGGTTGCTTCATCAGCAGATCCTAAAAATTTCAGTGGATCATCCTCTGAAGTTTCATCTTTGGATCCTTCCTACAACAAAGAAAAACACATCATCCATCCTACTAAACAGCCCCAAGCATCACAAGGTGGTGACTGAGCAGGATGAAGCCTCAAAAAAGAATGAGAAACAGAACAGTCTAAGTGAAAATATGAATCCTGACTGTTCGTGAGCCACTAAGAATTGAAAATAAGGCCGGGCGTAGTGGCTCATGCCTGTAATCCCAACACTTTGGGAGGCCAAGATGGGAGAACTGCTTGAGCTCAGGAGTTTGAGACCAGTATAGGCAACATGGTGAAACCCTGCCTCTACAAAAAAATACAAAAATGAGCTGGGTGTGGTGGCATACGCCTGTAGTTCCAGCTACTCAGGGGGCTGAGGTGGGAGGATCACCTGAGCCCGGGAAGTTGAGGCTGCAGTAAGCTATGATTGCACGACTCCAGTCTGAGTGACAGAGCAAGACCCTGCCAAAAAAAATTATGAATAATTTTTTAAATATTGGGAGGAAGAGCCAGATTCCACTGCAGTTGGATTTGGGGGACAGCACTGGCAAAGGGGCAGCACCCCCAGGATCAAGCAGCCTGCAAGTCAGCAGTGCTCCTAGTTGGGGCAGTCCTAGGCCTCTCCAAAAATGCCACTTCCATCAGTTCCATCAGGTGAAGACTCCACGCAGCTCCTTGGCCTCCAGTGCCCCCAGATGAATAAAGGGAAGCACAGGCCAAGAAGGCAACCTCATTGAAGATGATTTTGAAAGAACGGCAGGAGAGGGCCAGGCGCAGTGGCTCATGCCTGTAATCCCAGCACTTTGGGAGGCCCAGGCGGGCGGATCACAAGGTCAGGAAATCGAGACCATCCTGGCTAACACAGTGAAACCCCGTCTCTACTTAAAAAAAAACACAAAAAATTAGCCGGGCGTGGTCATGGGTGCCTGTAGTCCCAGCTACTCGGGAGGCTGAGGCAGGAGAATGGCGTGAACCCGGGAGGCGCAGCTTGCAGTGAGCCAAGATCGCGCCACTGCACTCCAGCCTAGGCAACAGAGCGAAACTCCGTCTAAAAAAAAAAAAAAGAAAGAAAAACCTAAAGCCTCCATCAAAAAAACCTATTAGAACTGATAAATTCAGCAAAGTCGCAGCATACGGAATCAATATACAAAATCAGTAGCCTTTTTATATGCCAACAGTGAACAATCTGAAAAAGAAATCAAGAAAATAATCCCATTTACAATAGCTATAAATAAAATAAAATACCTAGGAAAAAACTTAACAAAGGAAGTAAAAGATGTCTAGAATGAAAATTATGAAACATTAATGCAAGAAATTGAAGAGGACACCAAAAAATGGAAAGATATTCCATGTTCATAGATTGGAAGAATGAATTAGTTATAATGTCCACAGTACACAAAGCAATCTACAGACTCAATGCAATTCCTATCAAAATATCAAAGACATTCTTCACAGAAATAGAAAAAATAATCCTAAAGTGTATACAGAACCATGAAAAACCTGAAATAGCCAAAGGCATCCTAAGCAAAAAGAACAAAACTGGAGGAATCTATTACCTGACTTCAAATTATACTACAGATCTACGGTAATCAAAACAGCATGGTAATGGCATAAAAAAAGACAAATAGAACAACAGAATAGAAGAGGGAACCCAGAAATAAACCGATACATCTACAGCTAACTCATTTTTAACAAAGGTGTCAAGAACACATATTAGGCCAGGTGCGGCGGCTCACGCCTGTAATCCCAACACTTTGGGCAGCCAAGGTGGGTGGATCACCTGATGTCAGGAGTTCAAAACCAGCCTGACCAATATGGTGAAACTCCGTCTCTACTAAAAATACAAAAATTAGCTGGGAGTGGTGGCTGGCGCCTGTAGTCCCAGCTACTCAGGAGGCTGAGACAGGAAAATTGCTTGAGCCTGCAAGGCGGAGGTTGCAGTGAGCCAAGACTGTGCCACCACACTCCAGCCTGGGTGACAGAGTGAGACTCCGTCTCAAAAAAGAAAAAAAAAAAAGAAAAGGAAAAAAAAAAGAACATATATTGGAATAAGGATGGTTATTTCAATAAATGGTGCCAGGAAAACTGAATATCCATATGCAGAAAAATAAAACTAAACTCCTATCTCTCATCATATACAGAAATCAAATCAAAATAGATTAAAAACTTAAATATAAGACCTCGAACTATCAAACTACTACAAGAAAACATTGGGGAAACTCTCCAGGACATTGTTCTGGGCAAAGATTCGAGTACTACCCTAAAGCACAGACAACCAAAGCAAAAATGAACAAACGGGATCACATCAAGTTAAAAAGCTTCTGCACAGCAAAGGAATCAATCAACAAAGTGAAAAGACACCCCACAGAACGGGAAAAAATATTTGCAAATTATCCATCTGACAAGGGATTCATAACCAAAATATCTAAGGGGCTCAAACAAATCTATAGGAAAAAAATCTAATTACCCAATTAAAAGATAATCTGATTAAAAATGGGCAAAAGATCTGAATAGATATTTCTCAAAAGATGGCATACAGCTTGGGCATGGTGGCCCATGCCTCTAATCTCAGTGCTTTGGAAGGCTGTGGCAGGAAGATTGCTCGAGTCCAGGAGTTCAAGACCAGCCTGGACAACATGGCAAAACTCTACCTCTACAAGAAATACAAAAATTAGCTGGGTGTGGTGACACATGCCTCTAGTCCCAGCTACTTGGGAGGCTGAGGTGGGAGAATGGCTTGAACCCAGGAAATCGGGTGCAGTGAGCTCTGATTGTGCCACTGCACTCCTGTCACATCTGGGCAACAGAGTGAGACCCTATCTCAAAAAAAAAAAAAAGTACAAATGGCAAACAGGTATATGAAAAGGTGCTCAACATAATCGATCATCAAAGAAATGCAAATCAAAACTACAATGACATATCATCTCATCCCAGTTAAGATGTCTTTTATCCAAAAGACGGGCAATAACACATGCTGGCGAGGATGTGGAGAAAAGGGAACCCTCGTGCACTGTTGGTGGGAATGTAAATTAGTGCAACCACTATGGAGAACAGTATGGAGGTGCCTCAAAAAAACTAAAAGCAGAACTACCACGTGACCCAGAAACCCCACTGCTAAGTAATACCCAAAAGAAAGGAAATCAGTGTATCAAAGAGGTATCTGCACTCCCATGTTTACTGCAGCATTATTCACAATAGTCAAGATTTGAAATCAACCTAAGTGTCCATCAACAGACAAATGGACAGAGAAAAGGTGGTACATATACACAATAGAGTAATACTCAGCTATAAAAAAAGAATGAGATCCTGTCATCTGCAACAACATGGGTGGAACTGGAGGACATCATGTTAAGTGAAATAAGCCAGGCACAGAAAGACAAACTTTGCATGTTCTCATTCATTTGTGGGAGCTAAAAAGTAAAACAATTGAACTCATGGAGACAGAGAAGTTGAATGATGGTTACTGAAGGCTGGGAAGGGTTGGGGGAAGGTGCGAGGGGGGAAGTAGAGATGGTTAATGGGTAAAAAATATAGTTAAATAGAATGAATAAGATCTAGCATGTGATAGCATAACAGGGTGACTACAGTCAACAATAATTTAATTGTACATTTTATAATAACTAAAAGTATAATTGGAATGTTTATAATACAAAGAAATAATAAATGCTTGAGGTATGAATATCCCATTTACCCTGAGGTCATTATTACACATTGTATGCCTGTATCAAAATATCTCATGTACCCCATAAATATGCACACCTACTATGTACCCATAAAAATTAGAGATTAAAATAGAAAGAGTTCTAAAGGAAAAAAAAAACTCATCCACACTCAGTAAGAGAGGTGCCATTAAAACTACACTGACAGACTTCTTACTATTACACTGAAAAGAATCCTACAAGTTTGCCCTCTGTTGGCATGAGAACCTTTCTCACAACACAGATGAGAATGCAAATGATACGAGCCCTATGGAGGGGAATTTGGAGATAAATTCTCCCCAAATAACATATTCATTTACCTTTTGACCCAGAAATCCAACTTCCAGGATTACATCTCAAAGATACATTGGGGCTAGGCACAGTGGCTCATATGTAATCTCAACACTTTGGGAGGCTGAGGAGGGTAGATCACTTGAGGTCAGGAGTTAGAGACCAGCCTGGCCAACATGATGAAACCCCGTCTCTGCTAATACGAAAATTAGCCAGGCGTGGTGGCGCACACCTGTGGTCCCAGCTACTCCAGAGGCTGGGGCTCCAGAATCATTTGAACCCAGGAGTCAGGGATTACAGTGAGACGAGATCGTGCCACTGCACTCCAGCCTGGGCAACAGAGTGAGTGAGACTCCTTCTCACAAAAAATAAATTTAAAAAAAAGATACGTTGGCAAAAACATGAACTGATTTATGCACAACGTACTCCCTGCAGCATTATTTATATCAGCAAAATACTGGAAATACCCTAAATGTCCAAGGTACAGACTGTTAAATAAACTATCATACCACAGAACATTCTGAATCCACAGAAGAACTGAGGAAGATCTGTACATAATCATATGAGGTGATCTCCACAACCTACTGAATAAGACAGGGGTGGGAATACAAATATATCTCTGTGTTATTGAAACATGGTAGTATAAATAAGAAAGGAATCAAGATGATTATCTATAGTGAGAGGCCACAAGGATGGAAACGAGACTTCCTTGAATCTACCCTGTTAAATCATTTTGACTTCGCAAACATAAAATATCTTACATATTCAAAAAATTAAGTTAAATCAAAAACCAAAAAGAATAATCAATAAAAAATCTAAAAATACACAAATGAATGCAACTGTATACCAAGCTGGTGACATAACTACATAGAGAAAATATTTCAAGTGACTTTAAAAGGCATTATTTTGCCCATAAGTCCTGCATAGAATGTATACAGAGGACAAAAAGAACTGCAAAGAAATCTTGTATTTCAATGGAAGTCTAATTGTTAATAGTATTATGGCTTCACTGTTTTGAAATTGTAAGATAAATTATAGGATAATGAAGTGGTAGGACTGGATATAAGATCATTTAAGAAATTATGCAAATTTCGTTGAGAATTTAAGATTGCCACCTAAAAGGAAAGTGATAAACAATATAAAATCAAAGAGCCAGGCTGGGCGCCGTGGCTCACGCCTGTAATCCCAGCACTTTGGAAGGCCGAGGCAGGCAGATCATGAGGTCAGGAAATCGAGACCATCTTGGCTAACACGGTGAAACCCCGTCTCTACCAAAAATACAAAAAATTAGCCAGGCGTGGTGGCGGGCACCTGTAGTCCCAGCTACTCAGGAGGCTGAGGCAGGAGAATGGCATGAACCCGGGAGGTGGAGCTTGCAGTGAGTGAGCTCGCACTCCAGCCTGGGCGACAGAGCGAGGCTCCGTCTCAAGAAAAAAAACCAAAGAACATTAAATTTGAATTAGAAATATCAATGTATAAACTCATGATTTCTTTTTTCTTTCCAAAAATATGTATTTTCTGAACAGGCCTAGAAGTAGTGCCAAAAATCAGCAACAATTAACACTCACATTGTAATCTCTAAATACCACTCCTCACCAATAGAAATCAAAAATCCAGAGACATTTTGATTCCAGGTCTGGAGCAGGAAGCACACACATAAATCTGGCACACCTTATGGTGTCTGAAAGCCACTGAGGTCACATCAGAATAACCTATGGGCCAACTTAAAAAAGAGGCTCCCACTAGCTAAAGATGGGACAGTTTAAGCAGGAAAATCATGGCTGCAAAGGCCTAGCACATATGAAATATCCAATTATCTGTGAAGTCACAATAACTTAACTCAGGAAAAAAAAGAAGCCCAAGTCATGGGTCACCTTTGGAGGCTACTAAGGCAGCAACTCTTCATTCATTCTGAAACTGATAAAGGAAAGAATTAAGCATCCATTCTGCCTTTTCAGTGCAGACTGAATCTCAGGGTAACTAAAAAAGCTGACTAGCATTTTCGGAGGCAAAAGTAGGTGGACTGCTTGAGCCCAAGAGTTTGAGACCAGCCTGGGCAATATAGTGAAACTCTGTCTTTACGAAAAAATACAAAAATTAGCCGGATATGGTGGCGTGCACCTGTAGTCTGACTAAAAAAAATGCAATGGTGAAAAGACTCCCTTCCCTATTCAATAAATGTTGCTGGGGTAAGCCATCCCATTACTGGGTATATACCCAAAGGATTATAAATCATGCTGCTATAAAGACACATGCATACGTATGTTTATTGCAGCACTATTCACAATAGCAAACACTTGGAACCAACCCAAATGTCCAACAATGATAGACTGGATTAAGAAAATGTGGCACATATACACCATGGAATACTATGCAGCCATAAAAAATGATGAGTTCATGTCCTTTGTAGGGACACGGATGAAGCTGGAAACCATCATTCTCAGCAAACTATCGCAAGGACAAAAAACCAAACACCGCATGCCCTCACTCATAGGTGGGAACTGAACAATGAGAACACATGGACACAGAAAGGGAAACATCACACACCAGGGACTGTTGTGGGGTGGGGGGAGGGGGGAGGGATAGCATTAGAAGATATACCTAATACTAAGTGACGAGTTAATGGGTGCAGCACACCAACATGGCACATGTATACATATGTAACAAACCTGCACATTGTGCACATGCACCCTAAAACTTAAAGTATAATAATAATAAAATTTAAAAAAAATGTTGCTAGGGTAACTAGCTAGACATGTGCAGAAGAATGAAGCTAGACCCTTACCTTTCACCATATGCAAAAAGTAACTCAAGATGGATTAAAGATTTAAATGTAAGACCTCAAATTATAAAAATTCTAGAATAAAACCTAGGAAATACCCTCCTCGATATTGCCCTTGGCAAAGAATTTTTGGCTAAGTCCTCAAAAGCAACTGCAACAAAAACAAAAATTGACAAGTGGGACCTAATTAAACTAAAGAGCTTCTGCAGAGCAAAAGAAACTACCAACAGAGTAAGCTGACAACCTACAGAATGGGAGAAAATATCTGGAAACTATGCATCTGACAAAGGTCTAACATCCAGCATCTATAAGGAACTTAAATCAACAAGCAATAAATGGGCAAAGGACATGAACAGACATTTCTTAAAAGAAGACATGCAAGCGGCCAACAAACATGAAAAAATGCTCACCATCACTAATCATCAGAGAAATGTAAATCAAAACCATGAGATACCATCTCACACCAGTCAGAATGGCAATTATTAAAAACTCAAAAACCGTCAGATGCTGGTGAGGCTGTAGAGAAAATGGAATGCCTATACACTGTTGATGGGAATGTAAGTTAGTTCAGCCACTGTGGAAAGCAGTTTGAAGATTTCTCAAGGGACTTAAAACAGAACTACCATTTGACCCAGCAATCCTGTTACTGGGTATATACCCAAAGGAAAATAGATCATTATACCAAAAATATACATGCACACGTATGTTCATCACAATGTTATTCACAATAGCAAAGACATGGAATCAACCTGGGTGTCCATCAGTGGTGGACTGAATAAAGAAAATGTGGTACATATACACCATGGAATATTACATAGCCATAAAAACGAATGAAATCATGTCCTGTGCAGCAACATGAAGCTGAAGGCCATAATCCTAAGTGAACTAATGCAAGAACAGAAAACCAAATATTGCATGTTCTCACTTATAACTGGGACCTAAACAATGAGCACACATTGACATAAACCTGGCAAAAATAGACACTGTGGACTACTACAGGGGGAAGGGAAAGAGAGGAGAATGGATTGAAAAGCTTGGGTACTATGCTCACTACCTGGGCACAATATACCCATGTAACAAACCCGCAGGTGTATGCCTATATCCAAATTAAAAGTTGAAATTTTTTTTAAAAGTACTCAATTGTACACTTTAACAGGTGAATTATATAGTATATGAATTATATCTCAATAAAGCTGTTGAAAAAGACTGGGGGGATTGTCATAAGTTTTTTTAATATACTTCAGAGACGTAAACCAAATGTAAAATGTGGACTTGGGTGTATTACAATTAGGATCCAAAGACCCATAGAAAACATTTTTGAGACAACTAGGGAAAACAAAACAAAGGCTAGGTATTAGATGGTATTAGATGATATTCTGATATTCTGTGGGTGTGATCATGGTATGTGGTCATTGTTCAGGAAAAGGGTAAAAACAGATGGATGAAGCGCATGTGGCAAAACCCAGCAGAGTGTTGAGTTTTGGTGACGATCATTTGGAGATTCGCTGTGCTATTCTACTTTATTAAAATTTAATTGAAAAAATAAAGCTCCCCAGAGGATTGTGATGTGCAGTCCCCTTTGGAACCACTGTCCTATATACCAGCTACAAGGACAGGGCATGCCTGGCCCTCCTACCAAGGGCCATGTACACAAATGGAAGCCAGCACGTGACATGCCTTCCTGCCACAGGCTGGGGTTGTGGGACTGCAATAGGGGACACAAGCAATAGCGGGGACATGGACACACGTGAAGATGCCAGGAGGCAGCAGTGCTGCTGGTGGAGGTATTACTAAGTCCCCATTATTTTTTTTTTTAGATGAAGTCTTGCTCCGTCACCCAGGCTGGAGTGCAGTGGCGCAATCTCGGCTCATTGCAAACTCCGCCTCCCGGGTTCACGCCATTCTCCTGCCTCAGCCTCCCGAGTAGCTGGGACTACAGGCGCCTGCCACCACGCCCGGCTAATTTTTTGTATTTTTACTAGAGAAGGGGTTTCACTATGTTAACCAGGATGGTCTCGATCTCCTGACCTCATGATCCGCCCGCCTCAGCCTCCCAAAGTGCTGGGATTACAGGCGTGAGCCACCGCGCCAGGCCAGTCTCCACTATTATAAAGTGATCAGTATGTACATGCTTAACACTTATCACTCAGTCATCACAACCACGTAAGGTGAGTGTGATGTTCCACCTTAGACAGATATAGAAACCCTATGGCTCAAGCCAGCCACCCACTCCTGCCCAGGGTGGCCTTGTACAGAGTGGTCCCACTTTGGGTTAATGGTCTATGCTCCCTTCCTGCCCTCCCTGATTGTCTGGGAAGCCCGAGAGGGTAGGCGATGGTGCAGCTAGCCCCTGGCGGCCCCCCAACCACATCTGGCTCCTATACTTACCAGTGCCCATCATCCTTGGACGTCCCACCTCTACTTCATTCCCCTTCTCCTGGCCCCACCGGTCAAGACAAGGCTCCTCTCCCCTCTCTATCCGGGTGAGGATGTCTGGTTTGGAGATTGCATAATCTGTGCACAGAACAAGAAATGAGGAAGAGCTGGACCCCACATGCCCACAGAGATGCAGAGATGCCCAAAGTACCAAAAGCCAAAGCAAAGACACAGACTGTCCACAGACAACCTGTGGACAGAGGCCCAGATCCTCCCTCCGTGGCCTTACCCAGGGAGACCAGCGTCTCGTAGTTGCCCCTCATCACGTGCTTGTAGAGCTCCTTCTGCCAGTCCTCCAGCTTGCCCCACTCCAGCTCAGAGAAATACACGGCCACATCATCGAAGGTCACGGGCACCTGGAACCATAAGTGTCGCACTCACTCACCCACACGCTCACAGGCTCAGCCCCTCGAGCTCCCCCACCCCAGGGTGTCCCGGTGCTACCTTGGGGGCCTCCCCCTTGCTGCCCGGGGGCAGCCGCAAGATCCAGAAGTTCCTGTTGCGCAGCAAGTTCTCCACATTCTCCAGCCGCCTCTGCAGCAGCCCGTACTCCTGCAGCAAGGTCCCCAGCACGGCCCACTTGCCCTCCAGCTGGTTCCCGAACTCCACAGCTGTCTTCTCGCAGTCGGCCAGCTTCTTCTCGGCTGTCCCCGTGCGCCCCTCCAGAGTCAGCAAGCGGGTCAGGCAGGAATCCACCTTCTTCTCCAAGGCCTGAATGGCGGCCACCACCGTCCACAGTGTGATTTCCGTGGAGTAGAGGTACGAGTTCTTCTCAGCAGCTGGCTGGGGCAAGGGTGTCGAAGGACTCTGGTCCTCTGTGTGCTTGTCTGTCTCGGGGTCCTGCTCACAAGAAGAGAAAAGAGAGATGTTATGAGAATTATACAATCAAAACTTCCACCTCAAAAACACACTTCGGAAATGACACCTGCCATGGTAAAGTCCCATCTGGGCTCCTGAGTTAGCAGCAGACTGGGGGGGAGAGGGAGAGGCTAGGGTATCAGTTAGGAATCCAGCCTAACTGATACAAGAGATAGTGGCTGGACCAACGTGTCAGCAAGTGGGAAAGTGGAAGAAAAACAGCCCCGGCTCCTGTCCTACAGGCTAGCTATGGAGACGGGGCATGCCCCACAGGCTTGAGCAACCACGTGCAGTCTCAAACAAGTGACTCCCCTTCTTGGGTCTCAGTTTCCTCTTCTAAAAATGAAAGGACAAGGCTTTGTGGCACAGAGAACATGACTCCCCAGTGGACAGCCCAGGTGCAACTCAGCTCTGCCACTTACAAGCTGGCCAACTGTGGGCAAGGTGTTTTCAACAGCTTCCAACTTCCCTTCCCTATCTAGAAAATGGAGATAATAATAGTACCTATACAATAGCACTGAGAGAATTAAGAAAAATCTGTGTACAAAGCACTTAGTACAATGTGTAGCACAGCACAGATAATAAACATGAGCCCCATGTTGCAGGGCTAAGATGACACTGACTGCTATGGAATGAATGCTTGTGTCTCCCTCAATATCCATCTGCTGAAGCATTAATCCCCAATATGCCGGTATTTGGAGGTGGAGCTTCTGGGAGGCAATTAGGCCATGAAGGCAGAGCCCTCATAAATAGGATTAGCGCCCTTGTAAGAGGAGACACAAGGGAGATGATCTTGCTGTATGCCACGTGAGGATACAATGAGAAGGCAGCCGTCTGCAAACCAGGAAAAGAGCCCTGCCGGGAACCAAGGCAGCCTGAGCAGACTGAGACAATGACAGTGATTATGGTGATGGTTCCAGCTCAGGGATATGGTATAAATAGTTCATATGGCCTTTTTTTTAACCTCCACCTCTTTTATTCCATTGTCCTTCAGTGCCTTGGAAAAAGCTTCTCAAGTGCCTCAGCTTACCCTGGTATCTGATTCACAAGCCCTCATTGTGCATGCGCAATGGGCACAGTCCTGGTTGGTGCTGCTAAAAGCCTTGTTGGAGAGACAAATCAACATCTCACTCCTCAATTTCATTCATCCTTCATGGTTAAATCACCATCAGGTCCTAACTTCCAAAATTACCTCAAATCCATCCATGTTTCTCCTTCTCCACTGCCAGTGTCTAGTCCAAGTTCCCATCACCTTGCTTGGCCTGGGCCACTGCGGTCCTGCCCACCTGATTTCCCCACTTCCAGCCTTCTCCCCCACTTCCAGCCTTCTCCCCCACTTCCAGCCTTCTCCCCCACTTCCAGCCTTCTCCCCTACTTCCAGGCTTCTCCCCGACAATACACTTTCCACAGAGTAATTGTTAATCTTTTTTTTTTTTTTTTTTTTGAGACGGAGTCTTGCTCTGTCGCCCAGGCTGGGGTACAGTGGCGCAATCTCGGCTCACTGCAACCTCCACCTCCCAAGTTCAAGCGATTCTCCTGCCTCAGCCTCCCAAGTAGCTGGGACTACAGACGCCCGCCACCACACCCAGCTGATTTTTATATTTTCAGTAGAGACAGGCTTTCACCATATTGGCCAGGCTGGTCTCAAACTCCTGACCTTGTGATCCGCCCGCCTCAGCCTCCCAAAGTGCTGGGATTACAGGCGTGAGTCAGTGAGCCACTGCTCCCGGCCTGGTAATCTTTTAAAAACACAAATAGATCATTTCAGTACCCTGCTTAAAACTCTTCAATAGCTTCCCAGTGTACCTGGCATAAGATCTAGACTTCTTCATGGCCCAGCCGACCTCTCTTGACCTTGAGCCATCCAGTTCCTGTCGTGCTCCAGCCATGCCAGCCTCCTGTGGATTCCGAGGACCCACCCGGCCCTCCTCCAACTTCACATCAGCTCTCAATATGCATCCTCTGTATGCCTGAGTCTCTCTCGTTTTTAAGATTCTAGCATAGACAACGCATCCTAGAGATTTTCACTGCCCCTCCCCCTTAGCACTAGTAATCTATAATTGCTTCATTCATTCAATAACAATTACTGAACACCTATCATAGTAAATGTACAGTGAAGATGAAGAAAAAACTGATGTGGTTCTTCCTTCTCCAGGAGAAAAATTCTGTATAGGAATACTTATAAACAACAACAGTGTGATAGGATGGGCTAACAAGAGTCCAGGGCAAATCTGTCCCTTTTGGGGAGTTTTTTGGGATCTCAAGTGCTGCAAGAAGGGAGGAGCAGGTGGACAGGAGTGATCTGAAAGGTAGTGAAGCAGTGAGCCCCAGGCTAGGGGGAGTGGATGATGTCACCTTCTAGGGCCCCCTCTTCCCAGGGAACAGGACTATAAACCTGCAGAATCCT
Organism: Homo sapiens; assembly: GCF_000001405.40. Classification (NCBI taxonomy): domain Eukaryota; kingdom Metazoa; phylum Chordata; class Mammalia; order Primates; family Hominidae; genus Homo; species Homo sapiens. Next base: position 149,263,909 of record NC_000007.14, on the reverse strand, counting down.
CAACGCTTTTTCTCTCCCTTGCACTCAGGGAACCCAAAAAGAAGCTCAGCACACTCACTAAGAGGAGGGAGAGGAAGTTATACTTTAATAAAAGTATCCAGAAAAATCAAGGTTTCAAAACCTTCACTGAGGTGTATTAATAATAGTAGGTATCATCTATTGAGCCTTTACAAGCGTTTTCCAGTATGTCAAAAATGGCCAAAGGATTATAATCTCCCAATTGGACATACTGCACTATATCAAACCAAGATTCTAAAATCTGCTAAACTGGCCTAACTTATATAGATGAAGATGCCAAAAAAACTGATGTGATTCTTCCTTCTCCAGGAGAAAAATTCTGTATAGGAATACTTATAGTGTATTCTTATGAATAAACTTATTCATATAGATATGTATCTGGACAGATAGATAGATAGATATAAATGAGACAGGCACCTGCGCCTGTAATCCCAGCTACTTGGGATTGGGAGGCTGAGGCAGGAGAATACCTTGAACCCGGGAGGCAGAGGCAGAGGTTGCAGTGAGATGAGATCCCGCCACTACACTCCACCCTGGGTGAGAGTGAGACTGTGTCTAAAAAAAAAATATATATATATATATATATACACACACACACACACACACACACACACACACACACACACGTATATATATATACTTTTTTAATTAAAAAATTTTAAAATGGCCGGGCGCGGTAGCTCTCGTCTGTAATCCCAGCACTTTGGGAGGCCGGGGCGGGCAGATCACGAGGTCAGGGGTTCGAGACCAGCCTGGCCAACATAGTGAAACCCAGTCTCTACCAAAAATAGAAAAATTAGCCAGGCGTGGTAGCAGGCGCCTGTAGTCCCAGCTACTTGGGAGGCTGAGGCAGGAGAATCCCTTGAAGCCGGGAGGCGGAGCTTGCAGTGAGCCGAGATCGTGCCACTGCACTCCATCCAGCATGCGCAACAGAGCGAGACTCCCTCTCAAAAAAAAAAATTAAATAAAATCTGCTACAGTAATCTTTTTTAAAAAAATCTACTATCTCTCTTGTAAACGACACAATCTTTCTCTTTGGCAAAAGTAGAATATGAGGCGTTTTAAAGTGTCTAATTCCAAAATCCCTGCCCCGGCGTGAGGCTCCCGCCTCTAATAGATGCGTGACCCTGGGCCTGTCCCTTCCCATCTCAGCCTCCGCTACTGTCCCGTGGGGCTGGCGGCCCCTGCCCGCCCAGCCTGCTGTAGGGGGGGCCGCGAGGCCTCAAATGGGACAATACTCCTAAGGCGCGGCCTCCTCGTCGCCGAGCGTGACTCTGGGGCCCGGCCTGGCTGAGGCCGCAGATGGGCCGGATCGTCAGCCGCTGACGTCGGGGCCCCGCCCGCCGGGCCTGGCATTTGGGCCGCCCGGTCAATGCCTTCGACGCGGGCTGGGCGATGGGCCGGGGGCAACGAGCGCGGAGGCTGCGCGCAAGGCCCTCTCACCCCGCGGCCTCGCGCGGCCAGAGTCCCTCGCGCGGGCTCACGCGGCGGCGGCCTGGGCCTTCCGGGCGTCCGCGGGGCCGAGGGCGCTTACCCGGGCAGGCGCCGCTTCGGCCATGGCTGCCCGCGTCCCTCGCTGGGTTGCAGTCCCTGGACCCGGCCTGTCGGGCCCGGGGCGGCGCGGCAGCGACGGCGGAAGCGGAGCGGGACCCGCCTAACCTGAGAGCTACTGCCGGGCGGCAGCGAACTGCGTCCCGAGCCACGTGCCCCGCTGGCCCTTTAAAAAAGAGCTGCGCTCGGCGGCCGAGCTTGAGGACGCGCACAGCGCCCCCTGCAGCCCGTAGGACCGCACGCCCGCGGCCGCCGCCCCGCGCCCTCCCGAGGCCTTCAGCGCCCGCGGCGTCCGGGACCCAGGCGCGGCCACCCACCCTCACCCGGGGCGCGGGAGTTGACGCCAGGGCGGGCGTGCCACGGCCTCCAGCGGGGCTACGTCAGGCGTAAGCCACTCCCGGGCCAGCGCGGCGCCCAACCTCTCTCTGCGTCCCACGCGGGAGCCGGGAGGGCTGCGGGAAGGAACCGCGCTGGAAAGTGCGAAACCTCGCGAGGGAAAGCTGCGTGGGGAACGGGGTCGGCCCTCGCCGGGGCTCCAGTCCGGACCGAGACTCTGTTGCAGCGCCTCCCACGCACCACAGAACTGAGTTGGGGAAAGTAAAAAGGATACGTGTGTACCCAGGGAGAAGCCAGGGAAACTTACATGAACGTTTTTAAAGTCTCTTTTAAATTTGACAGAACAAACGTGAAGATGGTAGGATTTTTTTTTTTTTTTTCCTAAGCCTGCCCTCCCCTCCTGAGGACTCTGGGGTCCCTTCCTCCTCCCGGGGCCCGCCTGGTGAAAGTCCTCAGCCACCCACGAGGACCCTTCTGTAGCTTTGGTCCAGGCTGAGATCACAGCAAGTGTGAATCAGTCCATCCCTCATTTAGGCCCTGAGGCATCTTGAATAAACCGCAGGACCCATTTTCCTCGGCCTGTGCTGAGGCATATTGAACTAAATGTGCTGTATGCAGTTGAAGCTTTGTTTTCTGTCTTTTCTGCATTTCCCATTCATCTCACAGTCTTTGTCCAACAAGCTGGCAAACTCTTCCCGCTAGAAATCTGCAGTTTTGTTTCTTTCTGTGTTTGGGTTTGTTTGGGGTTTTTTGGTTTTGGTTTTGTTTTTTCTTTTTTGGGGGGGGGGGGTGAGGGTGAGAAGTTATTTTCACAAATATTTGAGCCAAGCAAAAGCGTGGTCAACTATCAGAAAAAACACAAACTGATATCCTAAGTAAGGTGAACCCCAAAATTTGCGGAAAGGTTAGGACGTGTTACTTTAAGGTAACAAATCAAATAAATATTTGGCATTATTCATTTTGGAAATTCTTGTTGAACTATCCCAATCTAAAACACAAACTGCAAGTATGCACTAAAGACATTAAGAGCATCCCTAGGATCTTATCAGGGATCAGTCCAATCTATTCAGGATTATAAAATACCAGTAAATGGTGACGTTATAGAATAACAGTTAAGGTCCAATGCAAACAGAAAGGGTCAGGAAAATGGGCCAGGAGCCGTGGCTCATGCCTGTAATCCCAGCAGTTTGGGAGGCTGAGGCGGATGGATCACCTGAGGTCAGGAGTTCGAGACCAGCCTGGCCAACATGATGAAACCCCATCTCTACTAATACAAAAAATTAGCTGGGTGTGGTGGTGAGGTACTCTGGAGGCTGAGGCAGGATAATCGCTTGAACCCGGGAAGCAGAGGTTGCAGTAAGCCGAGATCATGCCATTGCACTCCAGCCTGGGCAACAAGAGCAAAACCCCATCTCAAAAAAAAAAAAAAAGAAAAAGAAAGAAAGAAAGGGTCAGGAAAATGGGCTGGAGACAAAAATGCTAGGATTTAATGAGCTCTGTTGAGGAAAGAGTGCTATAATGTTTGACAGCTAGTCTTCGTTTTTTAGAAAAAAAGTTTCTCTAAGTCAGTGGTACTCAAACTTCAGTGTGCATCATGTTCACTGAGGGTTCTTGTTAAAAATACAGGATGCTAGGCACAAACCTCAACATTTCTAGGTCTGAAACAGGAGGGGATGAAAGTGATGCGAATTTGCAATTCTAACTAGTTCCCAAGAAATGCTGATTCTATTGGTCTGGTGATCACAGTTCGAAAACCTTGGCACTGTTTATCAGGGTCCCACAGCTACCTCCCATTCCCATGCTCAGATTTTATAAATATATTTAATAAACGAACACTTTGCACCATAATGTGGTTTCTGAGCAGACCAGCCGGGGTGTCAAGCCAGCTCTGATATAAATTAAAATTACATGGTGGCTTTTTTTTTTTAAGACGGAGTTTCGCTCTTGTTGCCCAAGATGAAGTGCAATGGCACGATCTCGGCTCACTGCAACCTCCACCTCCCAGGTTCAAGAGATTCTCCTGCCTCAGCCTCCCGAGTAGCTGGGATTACAGGTTCCTGCCACCATGCCAGGCTAATTTTTAGTATTTTTAGTAGAGACGGGGTTTCACCATGTTGGCCAGGCTGGTCTCAAACTCCTGACCTCAGGAGATCCACCCACCTCGGCCTCCAAAAGTGCCGGGATTACAGGCATCAGCCACCACGCTCAGCCTACATTCATCTTTAATTGTTAATCTGTCTCTTGTGAGTTTGTTTTTTGGGGGATCAGATTTCCAGGACCTGATTATCTCTGGGTGAACTGACAACATCCAGTGGAGGCCCAGTCCGTGGAGTAACAAGGGTGACTCCACCTGCAGAAGGTAGGGTTGTCACAATTTGAGGGCCACCAAAGTAGTACCCAGGGTCACTCAACAAGAGGTCAGCACACTCAAGTGCCATTGTCCCCACCAGAACATCCTCAGCCAAGAGATAGTGGCAGGTCAGAGACAGAATTCCTGTGGCTCCCTCATCCTCCAAGCCAGGAATGTAATTTAGATTAGGAGGTGGACCCACACAGAATTATAAAGATGTTAGGAACGGAAGCATTAGTAGAGGGAGACCAGAAGTACAGCCAAATCCCACTTCCTCCATAGAAGCCTTCTCTATTTCAGACAACACCCAGCTCTCTATTCTGTGAACACCCATTATACTTTCTCATTCAGCAAACATTTGCTGAGCACCTATGTGCCAAGCACCTGTGCTGAGAGCTGTGGAGGCTGATAGGAGTAAGACATGGTCCCTCCTGAGGCCAGGCGCGGTGGCTCACGCCTGTAATCCCAGCACTTTGGGAGGCCGAGGCGGGCGGATCACGAGCTCAGGAGATCAAGACCATCCTGGCTAACACGATGAAACCCCGTCTCTACTAAAAATACAAAAAATTAGCCGGGCGTGGTGGTAGGCGCCTGTAGTCCCAGCTACTTGGGAGGCTGAGGCAGGAGAATGGCCTGAACCCAGGAGGCGGAGCTTGCAGTGAGCTGAGATGGCGCCACTGCACTCCAGCCTGGGCGACAGAGCAAGGCTCCGTCTCAAAAAAAAAAAAAAAAAAAAAAAAATGGTCCCTCCATTCCCACAGCATCACATCCTGTGACTGTTTCTTGGTCTTATCTATTGTTCCCTTCCCACTGCAGCTGCACCCAATCAGGTAGGTCCTCACTGGCTCTTCCTTGATCTCACTTGAAACCTTCTAACATATCCCAAACCTCACACCCCCCAAAAAGCACAGTATAATTCTTATTAGTATTCCCAAATCACAGCTAGAATCAGGTCACTCTTTTGCTCAAAATTCTTCAGCTCCCCATTATCAACCGAATAAAATCCAGACTCCTTGAAGCCTGACCCAACTCTTAACACCCACTACTCTCCTTCTCACACTCCACCCTCCCGAAATTGGATGAACTCCTCTTCTGTACATGTCCCATAATGTCTCCTGACTTGGTCATGTCACCTCCATTTAGAATGTCCTTCCTCCCATCCTTAAAAGGCCAGTTCAAATACCACCTATCACGAAGTCTTCCCTAATGTCTCACATCTAAAATAATTGTTCTCTGAATGCTTAAAGCCTTTTACCCTCACTTATCTGAAGACATTACTATTCTATCTTATATTCCCTTAGTAGCCTGTAAGTCCAAGAGCAAGATTTATCCCTGTACCCCTCTGTAGAATTCTGCACAGGGAGGATACTCAGATATTTGTGAGTGAACAAACTCTAAGGCAGAATGGAATACTGTCCTCACCTAGGAAAGGGCTGTGCAAAGGTGCAGTAAAGGAAGAAAACTGATTTTGAAAGAACATAAACTCAATAAGGGCAAAGATCTTTTTTTTCATTGATGTGTATTTAAAATAGTGTCTAGATAACAGGGACTCAATATGTATTTGTTCAATGAAAGAAATGGATGAGGGAAGCTTTCACAGAAGGAACTTATAAGCCAAAACAGTGAAAAATAGTGTTTGGTTCAGAGAAGGACACTGCAGAGAGAGGGAGAGAGCATGGCTTATTCAGTAAGACAGGAGGCCAGACGTGGTGGTTCACAGCTGTAATCCCAGCACTTTGGGAGGCTGAGGCAGGAGGATCACTTGAGCCTAGGAGTTCAAGATCAGCCTGGCAACATAGTGGGACCCTGTCTCTACAAAAGGTACAAAAATCAGCTGGGTATGGTTTGTGCACACCTGTAGTGCCAGCTACTTGGAAGGCTGTGATGGGAGCATCCATTGAGCCCAAGAGGTCAAGGCTGCAGTGAGCTGTGATGGCACACTCAGCCTGGGCAACAGAGACTCTGTCTCAAAAATTTTTTAAAAAAAATAAATGAATGAATGAATGAATGACAGGAAGCCCAATGTGGCAGCAGCATAGAGTGAAAACAGAAAAAATGCAGGGTGACGCAGGTTTTCAGAGTCTTGAGTTCTATACTAAAAAGACTGCTCATTATCAGTAGCTGCTAAAAGCCATTGCAAGGTTTTGAGGAAAGTCTACATCCAGTTGTGTGCAAGGACATTAACTCTGGAATCAAAAAGGATGTGATTAAGAGCAGAAGACCTACTGGTTACTGAAAAGTTTGGATGAATGATGACTAGGACCTTAACTGTGGGAACAGAAAGGATAGAAAAGGCAGGATAGATGAGTCACTAATATTTGGCATTTAATTCTTCCCTGTTGACTTCAATCTTTCTAACTTGATCATCCCTGTCCTTCTGACAGTGCATTTCCTGTTTTCTCCTCAGCACCTGGCAGAACAGGCTTTCAATGGAGGATGGCAGAAGCAGACAAGAAGAGGCGAATCTTTCGTATACCATAAGAGAGTGCCTCTGCATGCACAGAATCACCTGGGGAGCTTGCTGAGATGCAGATTCTGACTCGGGGGTCTAGGTGGAGCCTGAGTCTGCACCATTTCACACTCCTAGGGGATGCCGCTGCTGCCAGCAGAGAGCCCACACTTCAGGACACAGGATCCAGCTTTGACACTGAGTTCCTAACTGCAGAAGCACCACCACCCCACAGCCAAGTGTGTGGCTCGGAAGCAAGATGCTCTGGGTTTCCATCACCTCTGCCACCTTACTTCACTTCTCAGGCCTCCTCCCACATCTCATACGGAAAACTAGGTAAAATCATGCTCACCACCCAAAACTATAAGGATTTGTTTTCATGGAAATAATTTGAATAGTGCCTAGCACACAAGTATTCAACAAGTGTCAGCAGGAGTCCAATTGCTTGATACAATTATTTCCCAGCCTCAAGGAAAACTTAACTTAATTGGAGAAGTAGGACCATATTTTGTGCTTCGCTTTTCCCCACAACACAAGGCCCAAGGCTGCTCACATTAAAACGCTCAACAATTGGGAAGTAAGAGTAACTAAGGACAGGACAGAGGGGGTGTCTATAAGGCAAAGGCTTGAGGGTAAGAAAAAACTGCAGAAGAAACAGGAAAGAAACTGCAAAGGTTTTCCTGACGAAGCTACCTACCCACCTCACACAGCGCCAGCCCTACAAGGATTCCCTCCATGTTGTTTCTGTAACAAGACAATCCCATACCTTATAGCAGGAGGCCTCAACCCCTGGACTGTGGATCAGTACTGGTCCATGGCCTGTTAGGAATCAGGCCACACAGCAGGTTAGCTCTGCCTCCTGTCAGATCAGCGGCGGCATTAGATTCTCATAGAATGAACCCTATTGTGAACTGCGCTCGCGAGGGATCTAGGTTGTGCGCTCCTTATGAGAATCTAACGCCTGATGATCTGAGGTGGAACAGTTTCATTCCAAAACCATCCCGTCCCCCACCACTGTCTGTGGAAAACCTGTCTTCCACGAAACCAGTCCTGGTGCCAAAAAGGTTGGGGACCCCTGCCTTACAGCAAGCCAAGTTTCCTTCTACTTATTTGCTCGCTCTCCCCGTGGAAAACTGTAATGTCTTTTAACGGGTCTCCTTTGGTCCCAAGTGTTCTTACAAAATGTTTTGTGTACATGCATTTTTAATTTATATAAATGGTGTTACATTATAGATCTCAATTTCTTACCTTTTCCCCTCGGCATTGTGTTTAAGATGGATCCAGATGGCTACGCATATATCTAAGCCAATGCTCGTAACAGCTACCTGGCACTCCCTGGGGTACCCACATTTCACCTACTCTTTCTACCTCCCAATAGCCATCACCCAGACTGTCTCCAGCTCTCCACCATCATAAGTACAGTCCCCTGAAAATTTTCACCCATGCCACATCTTGTCTTCTGTCCTAGGTTTAAGTAAAAGTGCAGGTTAGGCTGTGCCATCAGTCCTTCCCTGTCATCACTCCAGGTCAGGTGCCTCTCCTCCACCTTGGCCCCAGGAGAGTGTTCTTGACAAACGGAGAAAAACATCCAGTATGAACTTTTTTTTTTTCTTTTGCTAGTAGCAAGTTTTATTCTAAGCAACCGCAAATCATCCAAGGGGATGTTCACATATGACCCCAGAGCCCACTCCCATCCCCCCAGACAGCAGCGGGGCACACATTCAACACTCCTGAGACAAGCCATCTGTGTGCTTTTTCTGTACCCTCTCTGGAATAGGCAATCCCAGAATGCATTTGGAAACTGTAATCCGAACCACCTCAAGTAAGGATTGGTGTAATAGGAACAAACTCAAATAACCACTGGTACAAGGTGAACAACCTTAAGTAACAAAGTAGTTTTCTACTCTGGGAGGCTGCAGAACATAGCCAGGAGGAGGTGGGAAGAGGAGAGGGGTATGCCGAGACACCGCAAGTCCCAGACCACAGCCATACCATCAGCAACTTCACTGGAATCTTTCTTCTCAACAGGGCTGCAGGGTCTACCCCTCCGACTCTTTTCCTCTTGGTCCTTTTGAGACAATTTGAGAGCACCAGGCACTGCACGAGGGAACCTAGCACCGTGTCCCCTGCTCTCCGGCCTAAGTAAGCATCAGTGGGCTAAAAGAGCCCCATTAACAACTCCCTCCTAGAGGGTAGGTCCAGTCCCCAAGTTAGGAACAACTTCTACAACTCTTAAAATGTAAAAAACAAGTGTTGGGCTGTATTCTTTAAAAAATCAACTAAAATCTAATTCCAAAAAAGGTTCTTCAGAGCAGGGCTAAGCAGTTCATTTAAATTATTTCTTCTACTTATTATTAAACAAAGAGATTATAAAACAAGAAAAAATGGAGGGTTATACTTCCCAGAACTCTTCCAGGCAGCTGCTCACCCCTATGGCCCGACTCAACCCCGTGGGAAGACATGAAATGCCGGGACGAGCCCTGGAACCAGCCACCAGTCCCTGTGGGGTCAGAACGCCAACCCCAGCCCACAAGCATTGGCATGAATGAGAAAACCAGAGACCTGAAGGTGCCAAGAAACAGCAAACTTGGCAGCAGGATGAAGACCTGGCCTGGACTCTTCTTCCACAGGGTTTTCAGGACAGCCTTTGGGCTTGGCTTGGTACTGGGACAAGGGAAGGCAATCACAAACAACTGCCCTCAGGAAGAACTCAGTCCCTGACTGCAGTGTCTCTTCGGGGGAACCAATGCCACCCCCCTCCATCCCCCAGACGGGCGAGGGGCTGCACCCTTAAAGCAGGCCATTGGGCCTTCCGGGCTCCAGGGCCAGCCCACCCCGCTCCCGCTGGTGGATCTTCTGGTGCTGCAGGAGGTGCTGCTTCTGGACAAAGCTCTTCTCACACTCAGTGCAGCTGTAGGGCCGCTCACCCGTGTGGATGCGCTGGTGCCGCACCAAGTCAGATGGGTGACTGAAGCTCTTGCCACAGTAACCACAGATGAGGGAACTCCGGCTTTTCCTCCAAGGGATGTGGCCAGGCAGGGCAACCAGGCTGTTGGGTGAGAACCTCTCTTGGACATGCTGGCCGGCACTGGGCCCCTCCTGCAGGTGGCAACGCTGATGGGTCACCAGGCTCACCTTGCAGCTGAAGCTCCTCAGGCACACATCACACTGATGCAGCTTGGCCTTTTTGGTCTGTGGTTTCAGCCGTGGCCTGGGCCTAAGGCTCTCCTCTGGCTCCTCAGGTGTACAAGACCCCCACCCAGAGTGGCTGCGCAGATGTGTGGCCAGCTGCTGCTTATAGCGGAAGGTGATCTCACACTCAGAACATTCGTAGGGGCGGGAAGTGTCCTTTTTCAGCTTCAGGCCCTGCCCACATTCCTGGTCCAGCTGTACCTGCCTATGAGATTTCTGCTTCGGGCAGCCCACAGTTCTGCTGCTGCTAGGAACTCTACTACCAACAGGCTCCTCTAGAGTAGAGTCCCCAGGACCTGTTTCCAAGAGGACAGAACTGCCCTGACCACCCCAGAGTTCGGTCTGCTCTGGGCTCAGGAAAGCCTGCTCTTCAGCAATGCATGAGAACTCTCCAGGAAGATCCGCAGGGCCTTCCTGTGTATACTGTAGCTCCTGTTTGATCATGACCCCACCTGCTGCAAAGTGGAAGAAGACCAACAAAAAAGATCACATTCTAGTACCTTTGGTTTCTTCAGGACCAAACAAACATCTGTGAATTTCAGAAGCACCCCAGGAATAAGTGAATTAGGATAACGTGGAGGAGGATGACACTGGCTAGGTTCCAAGACTTCTATAAAACTATATTCATGTACAGTTTTTCCAATGTTGATTGGAAATATAAATGTATTACTCTTATAAAACAATACTGTAAATGATAGTTCTCCAAGCTTGTCTACAAATTTATATTTAATCCCTGTGAAAAATGACAGAATACACTGTAACAACTATACTCAATTAAGAGTGTTAAAATAACAAATTTGAATGATTAAAGACAAACTAAACCTACAGCTTAAGAATTCATGTCCAGCTCTGTTCTTCCTCCATAACCTCCCAAATTACCTACTGACAAGTGCTTTTCCTGCACTGCCTTCCCTCCTGAAGCTCTGACATACCTACGCTCAATCTCCAGCAGGTTTTGACTACCGCCTCGTACGGTACTCTATTCTGTAGGGCATGAAGAATAATGATTGATGTGGCCGTTAGTCTTAAAGACCCCACAGGGTGGTAGGAGTTGAGGCATATGTAACAGCTGAACTAACGACAATCATAAAGGAGTCCAGAACAAGCAGATGCCAGATGAGGTCACCAAGTCAGCACCTGGCACTTCAGCCGTGGGAAAGCTCACTCTAGGCTACAGAGGGCTATGGAAGGGGAACAGAATATTCCAGAGCCACTCACCTGGGTGGGCACCACCAGGACCTTCCTCTTCCAAGTCACCCAGCATCTCTGTACCCAACTCCGCTTCTCCCTCTGTCTGGCCAAGGACCTCTGGGTGGGAAACAGCACAGTGTGAGCCCAGGAGAGAGTGAAAGCTCACTGCACACTGATCAGCTGCCAGTGACCAAGATGACCAATGGCAGGGAGGAAATATAGATTCAAAGGCTACTGTTCTTGTCAGTTTCCCCTAGCAGTTTGGGACAATTATAAAATTCTGGCCAATCATAACAACTGACTTGGCTAGCTGCTGCCTCCAGTGCTCCTCCATTAGAGGGGCTGTGGCTCAGGCAGGCAGGCTACAGAGCTACCACTGCCCTTGATGGCACCACCACCCACCTCTGCCTCTCCATGTGCGTGCAGCTTAAGTCTTGCCAATGCTTCCTTTCAGGGGATCTAATTTCATCCTTGCTAAGGCACTGCAAGGTAAGATGGGCACTGGGACAGACAAGGAAACAGTCACAATGAGAGCATGTGACCCAACCAAGCTTACAAGGTCACTTTTCTGGCCCATTTTCTATTTCCTTTACCTCCTACTCTGCTCCAGGCACTTGACACTCCTCCATGTACCTAGGTTTTAAAAGACTTTGTCTACCAAACAAAACACATTTATTATGTAATAGGTAACATTTTGCATATAAAGACTTATATCTATTAAGCAGCACTCCTAATCAACAAGAAAAAATCACTGAGACCACAATGACCAGCTATAATTCCGGCCAAACACCAAGAAAATGCTTTTGATCAGCCTGTGCTGCCTGCCTCATCCAAGGTAACATAGGGTTATCAAATCATCTTTTTTTTTTTTTTTTTTTTTTAAGCAACAGAGATCTCACTATGTCGACCAGGCTGATTTCGAACTCCTAGCCTCAAGCTATCCTCCCACCTTGGCCTCCCAAAGTGTTGGGATTACAGATGTGAGCTACCACACCCATCTCAAATAGTCTTAAATATTAAAAACAGCATGAGAGGCCAGGTGCGGAGGCTCACGCCTGTAATCCCTGCACTTTGGGAGGCCGACGTGGGTGGATCACTTGAGCCCAGAAGTTCAAGACCAGCCTGGGCAACACAGTAAGACCCACGTCTCTACAAAAAATTTAAAAAATTAGCCAGGCGCAGTGGCATGTGCCTGTAATCCCAGCTACTCGGAAAACTGAGGTGGGAGAATCATTTGAGCCCAAGCTGTCAAGGCTGCAGTGAGCCGAGATCGTACCACTGCACTCCAGCCTAGGTGACAGAGTCTCAAAAAAAAAAAAAAAAAAAAAAAAGATAAAACAGGCCAGACGCAGTGGCTCACACCTGTAATCCTAGCACTTTGGGGGGCTGAGGTGGGCAGATCACGAGGTCAGGAGTTCAAGACCAGCTTGGCCAACATGGTGAAACCCCATTTCTACTAAAAATACAAAAATTAGCTGGGCGTGGTGGCAGTCACCTGTAATTTCAGCTACTCGAGAGGCTGAGGCAGGAGAATCGCTTGAACCTGTGAGGCAGAGGTTGCAGTGAGCCAAGATTGTGCCACTGCACTCCAGCCTGGGCAATAGAGCAAGACTCTGTCTCAAAGAAAAAAAGAAAAAAAAAAGATAAAATAAATTAAAAAACAACATGAGGAACCCTAGCCATATCACACTATAGGGTATATGACATTTTATTTATTAGAAAATACTATCAAGAACAGACTATGTGACCACAGGAAAAAAAAAAAAAAAACACAAAAGGCACAATGCTGCGAGCTTTCCAAAAGTCTCTGTAAATGGGAGGACCTAGAGACTGGCATTTCTCCACCCGTGCAGGTCTGTAAATGGGAGGACCTAGAGACTGGCATTTCTCTGCCCGTGCAGGCCGACAGAGGACCCACAGCCACAGGAGCCACAGGTGTGGTCTGAATTACAGGCTGCCAGCCAGGAATTGTAGTATGTCTGAGACAGAATTCTAGGGAGAAAACTGCTACTCACTCAGAGAGACCAGTGTCTCATAGTTACTCTCCATCACGTTTCTGTAGAGCTCCTTCTGCCAATCCTCCAGATTCTCCCATTCCTGCTCGGTGAAACAGACGCCATCATTCTCCAGTGACCTGGACACCTGGAATCACCAATGGCACACCATGAGTGCTTCTACTCACAGCTATGACAGAAAAGCCAGCAACTGAGGTGCTTACATATTAAAGGGCTGGCTCCCCCTTCTCTTCTAACTTTTAATCCTCAATGAGACTACCTTGGGGGCCTCCCCCTTGCTGCCCGGGGGCAGCCGCAGGATCCAGAAGTTCCTGTTGCGCAGCAGGTTCTCCACGTTCTCCAGCCGCCTCTGCAGTAGCCCATACTCCTGCAGCAGGGTCCCCAGCACGGCCCACTTGCCCTCCAGCTGGTTCCCGAACTCCACGGCCATCTTCTCGCAGTCAGCCAGCTTCTTCTCGGCTGTCCCCGTGCGCCCCTCCAGGCTCTGTAGCCGGGCAGCCTGGGACTCCATCTTCTTCTCCACAGCCTGAATAGCGGCCACCACCGTCCAGAGTGAAATCTCGGTGGTCTGAAAATAGGAGCTTTTCTCTGTTGCTTGTGAAGGAAGTGTGGAAGAAGTTAAAGGTGTGGAGCGTCGTTTTCTCCTGTGCTGATGGATTAAAGACACAGGGTCAATGTCACTTCCAAACATCAAGTAAAGAAAGCAGTGTTCAAGTGTATCAGTGCTCAGAGTTATCTAGTTTCTTTTAATTAAAAAAAAGCATGTCTTTTATTGATACTAAAAATTATACATAGATATTGTATTAATAATGTTGGAAAATGATGAAGAATAGAAAGAAAATATTACACAAAATCTTCTCACACACAATAAGCTGTTAGGGCTGGCCGTGGTGGCTCACAACTGTAATCCCAGCACTTTGGGAGGCCAAGGCAGCTGAATCACTTTAGCTCAGGAGTTTGACACCAGCCTGGCCAACAAGGCAAACCCTGTCTCTACAAAAAAGTTCAAAAAATTAGCCAGGCATGGTGATGCATGCCTGTAGTCCCAGGTACTTGGGGCACTGAGGTGGGAGGACGGTTTGAGCCCAGGAGGTTGAGGCTACAGTGAGCCAAGATCGTGCCAGTGCACTCCAGCCTGAGTAACAGAGTGAGACCCTGTCTCAAAAAAGAAAAAGAAAGAAAGAAGCTGTTTGAATTTTGGTGTATTTCTAAAGTTTTTTTTCATCTTTTAGTTTATTTTTTTTCAACAAAAGTGAAATTATAGCGTGTATGTTCTGTTACCTATGCTTTATGCTTAGCATATTCTCTGAGACTCCTGTATCAGTGTTCATTTTTAAACCTATTTTTATTTAATGTTTTGGACTATATGATAAAAGATGTCACTTACATCTTATCTTGCTTCCACATCCCTGCCAGACTTCATAGTTGATCATGTCACCCGTTTGAAAACTTTCAATGGCTCCCCACAATAAAGACAAAATTCCTTAGCAGGACCTACAAGACCTAATTCATTCATCTTTGCACTCTAGCAGCTGGGATGGTGAATAAATCCTTAAAAAATATTTACTGAAATGATGTGACTAAGTCTACTGACATTTTCCTTATAATTTTCACTTTAATGAGCTGTCTCTGACAGTAGGAAAATCACTGTCATAGAAGCTAAAATTACTGAAACCAACACTGGGGAAGTCTTCCCCAAGCTGTCCCCCTACTGTCTCCCTGCACGTTCACTTCAGTCCTAACCCCCTCTGCAAACTTCACTTTATTTGAATAAAGCACACACTTTATTCAAGGCTGCTTCTCTAACCACAGTGAGGCCACCAAGACCGAGACACTAGAGGAAATATCTCGGAAAGAACTGCTGGGGCCAAGGGTTGTGGTCCAGAGAACATGGGACAAAAGGAAACTGACTGGTGCAGAACTGAACATTTAAGTTTGGCCATGACCTACTCTAGTTACTCAAGTCAGTTAATTCATCATGGAACACATGAGACAAAAGCTTAAATACATCCTCCTGCAAGAGATTAAAAGAAAAGTTCAATGTAAAAGACAAATACAAGCGAAACAAAACAAAATATTAAACTGGATATATGCATGCCATCATGTTTGTTTTGCTTCTACTTTAAGTCTGTGAGTCTCCTCTTTCTGTGGCCCAGCATTCTGTGCTCAGTAGCACTTTTTCTAGACAGGAATGTAGGTGAGAATCTGTGCAAAGGAATAAGCCCCCTCCTCTTCCACATAGTAAGAGGTTGAAAAGAATGATTAAGCTAGTTTCTTCTTGTCTTCTGTTTTGAATTATCTAGCATGATGGGAACAATTCAAATGTTCACGAACCAGTCAATGGATGAAAAAATTGTGATCCATCCAGTGTTATGGGTTGAATTGTGTCTCCTCAAAATAATACAGTAAAACCCTAATCCTCAGTACCTCAGGATGTGATCTTACTTGGAAATAAGGTACTTCCAAGGGTAATCAGGTTAAAATGAGGTCATTAGGATGGGCCTTAATCCAATGACTGATGTCCTTAAAACAGAGGACCTTTAGACGCAGACACACACACACACAGGGAGAAGATGTCTACTATGGTTTGTCCTCACCAAAACCCATGTTGAAATTGTATTTCCAATGTGGCAGTGTCGGGAGGTGAAGTCTCGTGGGAGGTGTTTGGGTCATGAGGGCATATCCCTCATAAATAAATTAATGCGCTCCCACAGGGGTGAGCTGTCATTGGCAGGAATGGATTAGTTCCCACTACAGTGGGTTGTGAAACAGTCTGACTTCTTTGGTCTCTCTCTTGCCTCCTCTGTCACCATGTGATCTCTACACACACCTGCTGCCCTTCCATTTTCTGCCATGAGTTTAAGCAGCTTGAAGCCCTCACTAGACACAGCTGCCCAATCTTGAACTTTCCAGCCACCAGAATTGTGAGCCAACTAAACCTCTTTTCTTCATGAATTACCCAGCCTCATGTATTCTGTTACACCAATACATAATGGGCCATGTCAAGATTAAGGCAGAGACTGGACTTATGCTGCCACAAACCAAGAAAACACATGGGACCACCAGAAGCTAGGAGAGAAACACAAAACTCATAAGGAACCAACCCTGCAAACATCTTGATTTCAGACTCCTAACCTCCAGAACTGTGAGACAGAATTTCTGTTATTTAAGCTTCCCAGTTTGTTACACCAGCCCTAGGAAACAGACACACTATATAAGACACTTCATTATATACCGTATTATATATTTAGTGTATTTTTCCTATATAGCTTAGAAGACTACTAAGCCTGCTACTTAGTAGTAGACTACTACTTCGACTACTAAGTCTACTACTATGTAATAAAAAGGAACCAAAATCACTGACATGTTTAACAACATGCTAAGTGACGGGAATCAGACAAAGGTCAGGCACGGTGGCTCATACCTATAATCCCAACACTTTGGGAGGCTAAGATGGATCACTTGAGCCCAGGAGTTCAAGATCAGCCTGGGCAACAAAGCAAGACCCCCACCTCCACAATTTTTTTAAAATGAGCCAGACGTGGTGGCATGTGCCTATAGTCCCAGCTACTTGGGAGGCTGAGGATGGGAGGATCACTTGAGCCCTGGAGTTCAAGGTTGCAGTGAACCATGATCACACTACTGCACTCCAGCCTGAGTGACAAAGTAAGACCACTTAAAAAAAAAAAAAAGAAGGGCCGGGCATGGTGGCTCACACCTAAAATCCCAGCACTTTGGGAGGCCGAGGCGGGCGGATCACCTGAGGTTGGGAGTTCGAGACCAGCCTGACCAACATGGAGAAACCCCATCTCTACTAAAAATACAAAATGAGCCGGGCATGGTGGCGCATGCCTGTAATACCAGCTACTCGGGAGGCTGAGGCAGGAGAATCACTTAAACCTGAGAGGCGGAGGTTGCGGTGAACCGAGATCACACCATTGTACTCCAGCCTGGGCAACAAGAGCAAAACTCCAAAAAAAAAAAAAAAAAAAAAGAATTCAGACACAAAAGGCTACATTTGTGTTTCATTTACATGTTTGGAAAAAAGCAAACTATAGGGACAGAAATCAGATCAGTGGTTGCCAAGGGCTAGGGATAGGAGAAAAATATTGATTATAGGCCAGGCACAGTGGCTCACACCTATAACCCCAGCACTTTGGGAGGCCGAGGAGGGCGGATTGATCATGAGGTCAGGAGATCAAGACCATCCTGGCTAACATGGTGAAACCCCATCTCTACTAAAAATACAAAAACAAAATTAGCCAGGTGTGGTGGCAGGTGCCTGTAGTCCCAGCTACTTGGGAGGTTGAGGCGAGAGAATGGTGTGAACCCAGCAGGCGGAGCCTGCAGTGAGCTGAGATCACGTCACTGCACTCCAGCCTGGGCAACAGAATAAGACTCCGTCTCAAAAAAAAAAAAAAAGACTGATTATAAAGGGATATGAGGGAACTTTCTTGGATGATGGAAATATTCTCTATCTTGGTAATAT
This sequence comes from Homo sapiens, assembly GCF_000001405.40. NCBI lineage: Eukaryota > Metazoa > Chordata > Mammalia > Primates > Hominidae > Homo > Homo sapiens. Next base: position 149,246,318 of record NC_000007.14, on the reverse strand, counting down.
GCTGGCTACACATTTGTCAAAATTTGTTGAACTATCTGCCTAAAGAGTAAATTTTACTGTATGTAAATGGTATCTCAATAAACACGTCTTAGAATGTCAAAGTAGGAGAAAATGCTAGCTGTAATAAAAGATAACATAAACAAAGTCTAAAAACAAGGAGAGAATATTTGTAAACAGAATATGAAGTGGAAAAAGGTCAAGAACCCCAAAATAAAACTGCAGATTGTAAATCATTCATGGAAGCGGAAATGCAGGCAGTCAATAAACAAATGAAAACACAACCACCTTACAATCAGGAATCCAAATATAACTAAGTGAAAGCACGTTCACCCATCAGACTGACAAACATGAAACAGACACAAAGAATAACATTCAGAGCTGACTATAATGTGGTAAACTGACTCTCATAACACTCCTGGAAGGAATGAAAAATACTACACACTCTTAGGGGAAGAAAAATTTCAAGTCATTAAAAACCCTTTTACCTAGCAATCCCACTTGGGGAATCTATGGCTGGGCACAGTGGCTCGAGTCTGTAATCCCAGCACTTCGGGAGGCTTGAGGCGGGAGGACAGCTTGAGCCCAGGAGTTCAAGAACAGCCAGGGCAAGATGGTGAAATCCCATCTCTACAAAAAGACAATAAAATTAGCCAGGCATGATGACAGGTGCCTATAGTTCCAGCCACTCAGGAAGCTGAGGTGGGAAGATCACTTGAGCCCAGGGGATTGAGGCTGCAGGAAGCCATGATCACACCACTTCCCTCCAGTGACAGAGAGAGATTCTGTCTCAAATAAATAAAGACACGGTCTCACTCTGTCACCCAGGCTGGAGGGCAGTGGCACGATTATACGTCCTGGTATTACAGGCATGAGTCACCCCACCCAACAGAAAAGTGACACATTTAGGATGAATTTCAATTCATAAACATAGTATGCAAATCCTTTTTTTTTTTTTTTTTCTGAGATGGAGTCTCTCGCTCTGTCGCCCAGGCTGCAGGCTGGAGTGCAGTGGCATGATCTCAGCTTACTGCAACCTCTGTCTCAGGTTCAAGTGATTCTCCTGCCTCAGCCTCCCAAGTAGCTGGGATTACAGGTGTGTGCCACCACTCCTGGTTAATTTTTCTGTATTTTTAGTAGGGACAGGGTTTCACCATGTTGCCCAGGCGGGTCTCAAACTCCTGACCTCAAATGATCCACCTGCCTCAGCCTCCCAAAGTGCTAGGATTATAGGCATGAGCCACCATGCCCAGCCTTTTGAGACTCCATTTTTAATATCTTTCAATGTTTTAACATTTTCCCTAGGTATCTATTCCAACCATCAACTCCTGTATGACAAATAATCCCCAAATTTAGTGGCTTAAGACATCATCATCTACTTTGCATGTGAATCTGCAGTTAAAGGAGGGTGGCACATGGATGGTTCGTCTCTGCTCCACTCTCTGTCAAGTGGGGCAAATCACAGGCAGCCAGGTGCTAGAATCCCTTGAGAAATCCCAAGCCACATGAAGAGGGTGCATGAAGTGTTCTGTTCAACGGCCTTACCTACAATCTCAGTCTACACACCAGCATCAACCAATAGACATGGGAATGCACACATTTTCATTCCCAATAGGTTTTTATTTTTGCCTCCTCTCTTTTGTTTTCATTTTGTCTCTACACTTTGATATTATATACTGATAGATATATGGATTAAAAAAATCATTTCTGGCCAGGTGCAGTGGCTCACGCCCATAATTCCAGCCCTTTGGGAGGCCAAGGTGGGCGGATCATGAGGTCAGGAGATCGCGACCATCCTGGCTAACATGGTGAAACCCCATCTCTACTAAAAATACAAAAGAATTAGCCGGGCGTGGTGACGGGCTCCTGCAGTCCCAGCCACTGGGGAGGCTGAGGCAGGAGAATGGCATGAACCCGGGAGGCGGAGCTTGCAGTGAGCCGAGATCGCACCACTGCACTCCAGTCTGGGCAACAGAGAGAGACTCTGTCTCAGAAAAAAAATAAAAATAAAAATAAAAATAATCATTTCTGTACCTGTGCTTCCAATATAATATCCACTAGTCACATGTGGCTGGTTAAATAAAATTAGCCGGGCACAGTGGCTCGTGCCTGTAACCCCAACCCTTTGGGAGGCCAAGACAGCCGGATCACTTGAGGTCAGGAGTTCAAGACCAGCCTGACCAACATGATGAAACCCTGTCTCTACTAAAAATACAAAATTAGCCGGGTGTGGTGGCACATGACTGTAATCCCAGATACTCAGGAGGCTGAGGCAGAAGAATCACTTGAAACTGGGAGGCAGAGGTTGCAAGGTTGCAGTGAGCCAAGATTGCACCACTCTACTCCAGCCTGGGTGACAGAGTGAGAGTCTGTCTCAAAATAAATAAATAAAATTTAAAACTCAGTTCCTCAATCATACTAGCTAACATTTCAAGTGCTCAAAAGCCACATGTGCCTAGTGGCCACTGTATTAAACAGTGCAGAGCAGAACATTTCTATCATCTTGGGAAGTTCTACTGGATGCACTACACCCTTATAAGTCTTTTCTATTTGATAAAATACTAAGGTTGTATTAAAATCTCCTATTATAACAGTGAATCTTTCTCGCAATTCTGTCAGTTTTGTTTTATATATTTTTAGGCTATGTAATTAGGTGCATACAGGTTTAGAAATTTTGTATCTAGCTGGTAAATTGAGTCTTTTACCATTACAAAAGTAGTAGGAGCCTTCTATCTCTAAAGATACTAAATATATTTGTCAACTTTATTTTCATTAGTATTTGCTTGGCATATTTTTTCATGACCTTTTATATTCAACTGTTTCTATATCCTTATCTTTTAGTTGTATCTCTCTCTCTCTCTCTTTTTTTTTTTTTTTTTTTTTTTTTTGAGACGGAGTCTCACTCTGTCACCCAGGCTGGAGTGCAGTGGCGCAATCTTGGCTCACTGCAACCTTTGCCTCCCAGGTTCAAGTGATTTTCCTGCCTCAGCAACCTCCGCCTCCTGGGTTCACGCCAGTCTCCTGCCTCAGCCTCCCAAGAAGCTGGGACTACAGGCACCCACCATCACATCTGGCTAATTTTTTGTATTTCTAGTAGAGACGGAATTTCACTGTGTTAGCCAGGATGGTCTCAATTTCCTGACCTCATGATCCACCCAACTTTGCCTCCCAAAGTGCTGGGATTACAGGCGTGAGCCACCACGCCCAGCCGGTTGTAACTCTTTTAAACCATCTAGTTGGATTTTTCCCCCATCCTGACAATCTATGCCTTTTAACTTGAACATTTCATTCATTTACATTTATTGTAATTGTTCATTAGCTTTGATTTATTTTTACCTTTTTTGTGCTATTTATCCCATCTTTCTTCTCTACTTTCTTGTCTTCTTTTACATTAATTTTTTCTTATTCCATTATCCCCCTTTCTGATCTGTAAGTTATACGACCAATTTCGAGTTGTTTAGCAAGTATCCTAGAAATTATGGGAAACATACATAGAAGGCCCTTTAACAAAGCCCTTTAAACACTTTAGTTCTGATCATCTCTTCCTCATATTTACATCAATGCCATCATGTATTTTAATTGTTTTTAACACAACAAGAAATTGTTACGTTTTATTAAGTCACTATTTGTTTAGATTTAACCATTTCCATGCATCATCACATCTTCTCATATTTTCAGACTTTCTATTTGGGAAAATTTTCATTTTACCTGAGGTATATCTTTTAGAATTTCCTTTTCTAAGAGTGTATTGGTAGCAAACTGTCATTTTTAATTTGTCTAAAAATGTCTTCTTTACATCTTTGTTTCTGAAACATTTTTGCTGCATATAAAACTATGGGACCACAGTTACTTTCTTTCAGCCTATTGACAATATCATTCTACTTTTGCCTAGCTTCCATGGTTGCTGTTGAGAAGCTGGCCCCCATTCATTTTGCTGTACTTCATTTCAAGGTAGTCTTTTTTTTTTTTGGTTGCTTTTAAGAATTCCCTCTGCCTTAGGCCGGGTGCGGTGGCTCATGCAGTGGTAATCCCAGCACTTTGGGAGGCCGAGGCAGGTGGATCACCTGAGGTCAGGAGTTCAGAGACCAGCCCAGCCAACACGGTGAAACCCCATCTCTACTAAAAATACAAAATTAGCCAGGCATGGTGACGCATGCCTGTAATCCCAGCTACTCCGGAGGCTGAGGCAGGAGAATCGCTTAGAACCTGGGAGGCAGAGGTTTCAGGCAGCCAAGATTGCTCCACTGCACTCCAGCCAGAGCAAGAGAGCGAGACTCTCTCAAAAAAAAAAAAAAAAAAAGAAAAGAAAAGAAAAAGAAGAAAAGAAAGAAAAGAAACGAAACTATGGCCAGGCACGGTGGCTCACGCCTGTAATCTCAGTGCCAAGGTTTAACAACTTACTTTGCAATCATCTGAAGGTCAGACCTTACTTTCAGTTCACCCTTACACAGAATGTTACCCTTTGAACTCTCTGCTTCATGGGATTGGGTTAGGGAGCTTCTTAGACTTTCCATCTTAGGCTCTGAGATGTGTGTTCCATTTTGCAGGTCCCTTGAATCATAAACACCAAAGATGAATGTTTGGCCAATGCCCTCAAAGTTGGCTTCAGAACTCTATCACTTTCGAGTTTCCTCTTTCGCTTAAGTTTTGGGGCTCCAAGTATTCTTTACTAAAATACATTTCAAATGCATTTATGTGCAGGGTTTTCCAGCATTTTCAGTTGTTTCATCAGGGCACCTACTTGAGCTTACTGTTAAATGACAGACACCTGAAATGTCTGAGAAGAGAAACAGGCTCAAGAACAATTTGAATAAGTTCTACAACGACAGATTCATGTTATTTAAGGCATAGTTTGGGATTGTGGTGGACTTTTTTTTTTTTTTTTTTTTTGAGACAGAGTCTTGCTCTGTCACCCAGGCTGGAGTGCAATAGCACGATCTCAGCTCACTGCAACCTCCACCTCCCAGGTTCAAGCGATTATTCTGCCTCAGCCTCCCGAGTAGCTGGGTCTACAGGCACCCGCCACCACGCCCGGCTAATTTTTGTATTTTTAGTAGAGACCGGGTTTCACCACATTGGCCAGACTAGTCTTGAACTCCTGACCTCGTGATCCGCCCTCCTCGGCCTCCTAAAGTGCTGGGATTACAGGCATGAGCCACTGCGCCTGGCCTGTGGTGGACCTTTAAGGCTTCTTCCTAACAAGGTCTACTGACGACATGTAGGTAATTGTGGAGTGACCTGGCAGGAAGAACTGTGGCAGAATCCTCTCGCCGGACTCTAACACTAACTAGATCTTGTGGAAAAGCCAAGTCTTTGACTGGCTCAGCCTAGCTTATAGGAGTCAGATGAGGTTAATATTGTAAACATTTGTGTCTTGTCTTCCCAATTCAACTGTTAACTTCCTTGAAAGCAAATACTGTGTTCTCTAAGTCTCCCAATCTCTCCGTTCTTAGTTCTTAACGCACTTTCTACAAGAATCAAATATAGCGCACCCTGCTCATGGTCAAATTTTCCCCACAGAATTTCCTTAGCCCTCCATTCTCACAAAGATCTAACATGATTCTCGAAGTGTTTCTAGACCAAGGAACACTTCATTAAAAGTCAATTCAATTCCAGCTGCCCCTTCCGTTGCAAACCCTCTGGTGTTGTTAAATTAACCACTACTTTGAAACAGTATGGGAACAGTATGAGAATGTCGGAGCTGGAAGGAAACTTAAAGCCTTGGAGATCATCTAGCAACTACTCCAACACTCTCGATTTACAGTTAAGAAAACGAAAGAGACCCAGAGAAGCGAACACAGTTGCCTAAAATCACCCAAATGGACAGCTGAAAGCTTCGTGACTCCACAAATAGGATTTTCCTCACACCAAACTCCGTATCTTGACATTCCCAGAATGGGGATGGTCGGTGGGCTGGGAGGGGGGTGTTGGGGGGGGGGTGAAGGAGAGAGTTTGGGCAGCTCTACAAACAAAATGCAGCAACTGCACTGTAGATAACATCCGTCCCCAAGGAGAAGCAGCCCAGGCTGACTTCAACCTGTGGCTGCAACCCCCAGACAGAAATCTGCAGCACTGGAAAAACCGACAACACATCGGACCGAAGAGGAGGTGGTCGCAGAGAGGCAAGTCCTGGGGTCTCCCGGGCAGCGGGAGAGCTCACTCGTAGCGACGGAGACCGTTTCCAATCTGGAAACACTCCAACCTGGGAACGGGCTCTTTTGGCACGAAAGAGAAAATGTGTGGGCAGGGTCACAAATCCACCAACCTAAAGCAAGCGTCAGAGAAGTTTCTGGGCAAGGGCGCACGGCGCCGAGGCTCCGACCCCGCTGCAGAAGGAAGCGGAGGGAAAAAAGGGCAGAGCACTGGGGTCGCGAAGAGGAGGGTCCGCGTTCACCCGCGCCAACGGCAGCCCCGGGAAACCAAGACCCCGGCGGCGTCCAAACCGCGAAGCCCCGCCCCCGGCAGGGGACTCCGCCATCCCCAACGCGCCCTCGAGCCAGCGCGCCGGTGCCTCTTTACCCGAGCAGGCGCCGACTCCGCCATGGCTCCAGTCGCCCCTCAACACCCAGACCCCGCCTCGGAGCCCCCGTGCTGCGTTCCTGTCCGCTCGGCGCCCCAGAGCCTGTTGGAAGCCGCCGCCGCCGCCGCCGTGTTGATGCCAGGTGCATTCTGGGAGCAGCGACCTCCCCGGCACAAGACCGGCTCCAGCCGCTCTTCCTCACTGTGCAGGCTTCCCATTGTGCCCCCGTGCGGCGGGAGGGAGAACGCTGCTTGGCACTCCCGGCCAGAGTGCGGGCACCAGGAGGGCTCAGTCACTCAAAAGTCAAGACCAGGTTCCGCGTTTCAGGCAAAGCCACGGGATCCTGCTGTCTTCCGTATGCCCAGCACTCTGCTAAATGCTTTGAGGGATTCAAAAATGTGTACAACTCAGACTTTTTGCTGAGGAAAGAACATGTAATGTTGTTGGGGAAAAGAAATATGGTTCCAAAAGGCAAGTGATTTTATTCCAAAAGTTCACCTGTTATTTGGCTTTTTAGAAACTGGGAACAGTTTCCATATCAACAGTGTGGAGCGTGGGGTCAGGCCCAGGCCAGCCCTCTGTAGCCTGTTAATTATGGTAATCATGTGCCTTGGAAAGTCCAAGACAACCCTGATTTCAAATATTTCCAGTCCTCATGCTACATGTAAGACGATGTGTCTGGAATTTTTGTTGGAAAGCACGGCCACATGACCATTTAATCGCCATGTACTTAATCCCCAATACCAGCAACACTACGGCAACCATAGCTGCCTAATTTATACCATTGTCTCTCTGGAGACAAGCAATGAACTTCCACTTCACAGGATAGGCGTGAAGTGTTTCCTCTGAGAACGAAACTTTTTTTTTTTGAGATGGAGTTTCGCTCTTGTTGCCCAGGCTGGAGTGCAATGGCGCAATCTCGGCTCACTGCAACCTCCACCTCCCGGGCTCAAGCGATTCTTCTGCCTCAGCCTCCCTAGTAGCTGGGATTACAGGCATGTGCCACCACGCCTGGCTAATTTTGTATTTTTAGTAGAGACGGGGTTTCCCCATGTTGGTCAGGCTGGTCTCAAACTCCCGACCTCAGGTGATCCGCCCACCTCAGCCTCCCAAAGCGCCGGGATTACAGGTGTGAGCCACCCCACCCGGCGGAGAACGAAACTTTTAAGATCATGACTGGCTCCTTCCTCACATGCAGGGCTCAGTTCAGATTCTACATCCTCAGAGAGATATCCCCAGTCCCCCCTTTCTACAGCCCCACACCATCCTCCATCTCAATACTCAATCTCGTTACCCTGCTGGAAATTTTTCATACCATTTATCACCATCTGAAGTAATCTCTCTTTTTCACTCATTTACATATTAATTATCTGTATCTCTTCCACTGAAATGTCTGTCTACTGTATCCTCCATTTGTTGTACACAGAAGTGTTCATATTTGTAAATGATTGAATGGTGAATCAGAGTGTAAGGATATGAAATGTCATCTCAAACAGAGGCATTATTTCCAGGGCAACTAGATCAACGGGCACGTCACTGAATCATTAATAAATCTAGAGAAAGAATGGGCCAGGCTGAAGAAACCGGTCAGTCAGGGAGATCCTGTCCAGAGGGTCTGACCTAATCTCTCAGACCAACAAACTCTTGGTGTCAGATACAGAAAAAAAAAAAAATGTGTCATGGGTGAGGTGGCTCATGCCTGTAATCCTAGCACTTTGGGAGGGCAAGGCAGGAGGATCACTGGAGTTTGAGACCAACCTGAGCAAATAGGCAGACCCTGTCTCTACAAAATTAAAATTAAAATTAAAATGAGCCAGGAGTAGTGGTGCACACCTGTAGTCTCAGCTACTCAAGAGGTTGAGGTGGAAGAATCATTTGAACCCAGTAGTTCAAGGCTGCAGTGAATCACGATCGCACCACTGCACTCCAGCGTAGGCAACAGACCAAGATCTTGTCTTTAAAAATAAAATAAAAATGTTATCCTCCACAGGCACAATATCAGGACATAGGATGCTGAGGTCATTAAACAGTTCGGTCGTAGAACTCATTCCCTCTATTCTATTTCTATACTCACAAGGCAACCTTCTGACGTTGCATGTTGCCAGGTAGCTTCTGGGAGGCAACATGCAGGTGAAGCTGATGCACATGTATACCTCAGTCTCTTGAAAATGAGCATGTTTCAGCATCCCAGACTCTGAGCCTGGAAGTCTGGAAAAAGGTTCAGATCAAATTTCCAGCCTGCAAAGGAGGCAGCACCAGGCACCAGGGTTGCAATCACGTGGGCTGGTGGAGATGGTGTGGCGCCTGCAGTCCCCCGGGCTGATGAAGACAGTGTGGCACAGTGATTTGCTAAGTGGGGCTGGGGAGTGAGACCGTCTGGGTCCCTAGCCCAGCACTGCCAGTATATTAGGTTTCTCTAGACAGACTAATAGGATATATATATAATGTTATATAAAGGGGAGTTTATTAAGTATTAACTCACATGCTCACAAGGCTCCACAATAGGCTATCTGGAAGCTGAGGAGCAAGGAGAGCCAGTCTGCGTCCCAAAACTGAAGAACCTAGAGTCTGATGTTCGTTGATGTTCGAGGGTGGGAAGGGTCCAGCATGGGAGAAAGAAGTAGGCTGGGAGGCTAGGCCAGTCTAGTCTTTTCACATTTTTCTGCCTACTTTATATTCTAGCTGTGCTGGCAGCTGATTAGATTGTGCCCACCAGATTGAGGGTGGGTCTGCCTTTCCCAGCCTACTGACTCAAATGTTAATCTCCTTTGGCAACACCCTCACAGACACACCCAGGATCAATACTTTACATCCTTCAATGCGATCAAGTTGATTCAGTATTCACCATCACAGCCACTTACTAGATGTGAAACTTGGTCAGGTCTTTAACTTCTTAGTACTTGTTTCCTCATGATTATTGGTGAATAGATAACAGTACTTAGCTCATAGAGTTGTGTGAATTAAATGAGTGAATTCAAGTCAAGTGCTTAGAACAGTACCTGGCACAGAGGAAGAGCTCAAGAAGTACTCATGATCATTATTGTTGTTTAGTCCCAGATCCTTCATTTACTAAGTGCTGTGGCTCATGCTCACTCTGCCCTAGTGTCCTTGTCTTCCACTGAGAATGTGAACACCTCATCCTAAGGTTGCTGATGGAACTAAAAGAAAGAATTTATGTAAAGTGCTTATGTAGCCAAGTGCCCGGCATACAGCAAGCACTTGATAACAGGCAATTTCTTCTCTCTGCTTTACTTTTGCAAGGTCCAAGCCTTGTATTGCAATGAGTTCAGCAGGATAAATGTGGCTTTGTTGTGTCTCTTAGAAACTACCCATTTGTTTTTTCCAACTGACATTCAAATCTTGACATATGCTGTTTTAAAAAACGTTGTTGGCCGGGTGTGGTGGCTTACGCCTGTAATCCCAGCACTTTGGGAGGCCAAGGCAGGCGGATCACAAGGTCAGGAGATCGAGACCATCCTGGCTAACATGGTGAAACCCTGTCTCCACTAAAAATACAAAAAATTAGCCAGGTGTGGTGGCGGGCGCCTGTAGTCCCAGCTACTCCAGAGGCTGAGGCAGGAGAATGGTGTGAACCTGGGAGGCAGAGCTTGCAGTGAGCGAGATTGCACCACTGCACTCCAGCCTAAGCCACAGAGCGAGACTCCATCTCAAAAAAAATTGTTGTTGTTTTTTGTTTTTTGTTTTGAGACAGAATCTCGCTCTCTTGCCGAGGCTGGAGTGCAGTGGAGAAATCTTGGCTCACTGCAACCTCCGCCTCCCAGGTCCAAGCGATTCTCCTGCCTCAGCCTCCCAAGTAGCCGGCATTACAGGTGTGTGCCACCACGCCAAGCTAACTTTTGTATTTTTAGTAGAGAGGGGGTTTCATCATGTTGGCCAGGCTGGTCTCGAACTCCTGACCTCAAGTGATCCACCCGCCTCGGCCTCCCAAAGTGCTGGGATTACAGGTATGAGCCACTGCGCCCAGTCCGTTTTAAAAAACTTTTTTTTTCCTCTTTTTTTTTGAGACAGAGTCTCTCTCTGTCACCCAGGCTGGAGTGCAGTGTCGTGATCTCCGCTCACTGCAAGCTCCACCTCCCAGGTTCACGCCATTCTCCTGCCTCAGCCTTTTGAGTAACTGGGACTACAGGCACCCGCCACCACGCCCAGCTAATTTTTTTTTTTTTTTTTTTTTTTTGTATTTTTAGTAGAGACAGGGTTTCACTGTGTTAGCCAGGATGGTCTCAATTTCCTGACTTCGTGATCCGCCCGCCTCAGCTTCCCAAAGTGCTGGGATTACAGGCATGAGCCACCACACCCGGCTTAAAAAACTTTTAAATGAAGTTCACAGTTATTCCCATTAGTAGCATTGGTATTCCAAGAATCAAGAAAATAGACATTTAGTACTTGTAGCCTGGCATCTCTACATTTGTAGAATATGAATGCAACATGCAGAGCTGAAAATGACCTTAGACATCATCTCACCCCAGACCCTCATTTTTAGTGAAAGAAAAAAGTATTCTTTGAACAAACAAATAATATACATTGTTAAAATAATGTTTTAATAATATTTATCTTGGCCAGGTGCAGTGGCTCATGCCTGTAATCCCAGCACTTTGGAAGGCTGAGGTGGGAGGATTGCTTGAAGCCAGGAGTTGGAGACCAGCCTGGGCAACATAATGGGACTCCATCTCTACAAAAAAAAAAAAAAAAATAGCTAGGCATGGTGGCACACGCCTGCAGTCCCAGCTACTCGGGAGGCTGAGGTAGGAGGATCACTTGAGCCCAGGAGGTCGAGGTTGCAGTGAGCTGTGATCACGTCACTGCATTCCAGCCTGAGTGACAGAATAAAGCCCTGTTTCACACACACAAAAATTATCTTATCCTTTAAATTTGTATCATGTGTATGATTTATAGCATACATATTAGCCTATATAAGTACATATATGTATGCCTGTTTTTTTCTCAAAAAAGTTTATAATCCATGGCTTTATTCCACTCGTTAAGACTCTTTCTGTCTCACTGCCATTACTATCTTGCAAGTCCCTAGATGGCATGAACCATTTCTTTTTTTCTTTTTTTTTTTTTTTTGAGACAGGGTCTCGCTCTGTCGCCCGGGCTGGAATGCAGTGGCGCAATCTCAGCTCACTGCAACCTCCGCCTCCTGGGTTCAAGCATTTCTCCTGCCCCAGCCTCCCAAGTAGCTGGGATTACAGGCATGCGCCACCACGCATGGCTAATTTTTGTATTTTTTAGTAGAGACGGGGTTTCACCATGTTGGCCAGGCTGGCCATGAACTCCTGGCCTCAAGTGATCCAAACGCCTGGGCCTCCCAAAGTGCTGGGATTACAGGCGTGAGCCACCGGGCCTGGCCGAACAATGTCTTTTGTATTCCTTCCCTCACACTAACAATCCTCTGGAGATCATGCCCTGCTAGACTGCAGGTCAGTGAGAATCCTGGAATCAACACGCATTGGCTCAAGGTGCCTCCCGGCTGTTTATGTGTCTGTGGTGTGCACCCACGAACTTCTGCAGCCTAACATGGCTCCTTTCGTCCTCTAGGCATCGTGCCTCCCTAAGCTGTACCCATGTAATTCAAATGTGTGTTGCCATCTTCTTGCATACCAACTCCAGCCTGGTCTCAGTAACCGTTTGAAGGGTGAGCACCTGGCTCAAGCCAGCCCAATCATATGGGCCCAGTCATAGCACAGTCATTAAGCCAGCCCACCCTATGGGCCCAGTCATAGCACAGTCATTAAGCCAGCCCACCTATGGGCCCAGTCATAGCACAGTCATTAAGCCAGCCCACCTATGGGCCCAGTCATAGCACAGTCATTAAGCCAGCCCACCTATGGGCCCAGTCATAGCACAGTCATTAAGCCAGGGTGGATGTGTCCTGAGCTGGACCAGTCCAAGCTTTCCCCTGGGTTTCTTCTAACTGAGCTGAGGGAAAAAGCTAATTTCCTCTCTGGTGAATTATAACTATATGAGTCAGGAATAATCTTGTCCTCCATTTTTTTTCTTTATAAAGTTTTCTGGGACGGGAGCCTCACTCTGTCACCAGGTTGGAATGCAGTAGTGCAATCTCGGCTCACTGCAACCTCTGTCTCGCGGGTTCAAGTGATTCTCGTGACTCAGCCTCCCGAGTAGCTGGGACTACAGGCATGCGCCAGCACGCCCGGCTAATTTTTGTATTTTTAGTAGAGATGGGGCTTCACCATGTTAGCTACGCGGGTCTCAAATTCCTGACCTCGAGTGATCCACCTACCTCGGCCTCCCAAAGTGCTAGGATTACAGGCATGAGCCACCATGCCCGACCATCCTCCATTTTTTTTAGAATAAGTTGGTTTGAAAGAATGATCCCAATACAGTGAAAGGAGCAGAAATGAGAGACACATTTTTGTCAGTATCCAAGAGTGGTTCTTCATCAGTTACCTTTGAGTCTGTGAATGATTCCAGGTTCCTTCCAGAATGTTCCCTTTTCTTCCTGGTTGGCCAGTCAGCTTCTGTTGATTGCAACTGGAAGCACACTGACTAGTGAAAGAATGATGGCTCTCTGTATACCCAAACCGAATGGAAAGTCCCAGAGGGCAAGGAGTGCCTCCCGTCCTGTCTTTGTGTCTTTCTCAGCTGCACAGTTTCTTGGACTTGGAGATACTTCTAAAACCCCTGTGGGAAGTCAGGGGAGCGTGTGACCTAGAGTGGTGAAGCAGTCTTCAGGGACAAAGTGGAACCAGAGCTGGGGCTTGAGAGACCAGGACTTGGACACAGCTCCCCTGGCCCAGGACCCCTGGAGAACAAAAGTGGAAAAAACAGGGCATGGCTTGGAAGTGGTCAAGAGACAAGCCTGTAATCTCAGCACCTTGGGAGGCTGACGTAGGAGGATCCCTTGAGCCCAGGAGTTTGAGGCCAGTCTGGGCAACATAGGGAGACCTCATCTCTACATAAAATTTAAAAATTTGCCAGGCATAGTGGCACACATCTGTGCTCCCAGCTACTTGGGAGGCTGAGGTGGGAGGGTTGATTGGGCCTGGAAGGTCAAGGCTGCAGTGAGCTATGATTGCACCACTGCAGCCCTCCAGCCTGGTTGACAGAGCAAAACCCTATAGATGATAGATAGATAGATAGATAGATAGATAGATAGATAGATAGAGCAAAACCCTATAGAGAAAGAAAGAAAGAAAAAGAAAGAAAGAAAGAAAAGAAGAAATAAATGAAGGAAAAAGAAAAGAAGGAAAGAAAAAGAAAAGAGAGAAAGAAAGAGAAAGGAAGGAATGAAGGAAGGACGGAAGGGAGGGAGGGAGGAAGGGCTGAACACAGCTAGGCAAGTTTGGGTAGTAGGCAATAGAGCAGAGAGAGCTTCTACTGACAGGCTAAATGTCTGTATCGCTATCATAGGGGCAGTGTAAAGAAAGAAATGCTTCTTTAAAAACTAAAGGCAGTCGCCAAGCGCAGTGGCTCACGCCTGTAATCCCAGCACTTTGGGAAGCTGAGTCGGGCAGATCACGAGGTCAGGAGATCGAGACCATCCTGGCTAACACAGTGAAACCCTGTCTCTACTAAAAATACAAAAAAAAAAAAAAAAAAAATTAGCTGGGCGTGGTGGCAGGTGCCTGTAGTCCCAGCTACTCAAAAGCCTGAGGCAGGAGAATGGCATGAACCCAGGAGGCGGAGCTTGCAGTGAGCCGAGACTGTGCCACTGCACTCCAGCCTAGGTGACAGAGTGAGACTCCATCTCAAAAAAAAAAAAAAAAAAACAAAAAACTAGCTCCTGTAATCCCAGCTACTCGGGAGGCTGAGACAGGAGAATCACTTGAACCCAGGAGATGGAGGTTACAGTGAGCTGAGATTGCACCATTGGACTTCAGCCTGGGCAACAGTGAAATTCCTTCTCAAAAATATATATATGTGTGTGTGTGTATATATATATATACATATACACACACAAAAATTAGCCAGGCGTGGTGGCGCGCTCCTGTAGTCCCAGCTACTTGGGAGACTGAGGTGAGAGAATTGCTTGAACCCAGGCGACGTATGTTGCAGTGAGCTGAGATCACGCCACTCCACTCCAGCCTGGGCGACAGAGCAAAACTCCATCTCAAAAAATAAATAAATAAATAAAGAACCACTTCTCATCCCCAAATCCTTGAAGTGTGGGGCAGGGGCACTGGCTTTGACACTATATGTAGGATGGGTCTGAAGCTATTTTTCAGTTAAAGGATATTGACACCATCAGAATGAAAGGTATGGGGACACCCAGATAGTCAACACTGGCTTACACCTCTAATACTAGATACAGAACTTGAATCTTGAATGGGAGACATCAAAGGTAGTCTTTTTTTTTTTTTTTTTTTTTTTGAGACGGAGTTTCACTCTTGTTGCCCAGGCTGGAGTGCAATGGCACGATCTTGGCTCACCACAACCTCCACCTCCCAGCTTCAAGCAATTCTCCTGCCTCAGCCTCCCGAGCAGCTGGGACTACAGGCATGCACCACCACACCCGGCTAATTTTGTATTTTTAGTAGAGACAGGGTTTCTCCATGTCGATTAGGCTGGTCTTGAACTCCTGACCTCAGGTGATCCGCCTGCCTTGGCCTCCCAAAGTGCTGGGATTACAGGCATGAGCCACCATACCCGGCCCAAAGGTAGTCTTTTATAACAAAGAGAGTCTTCTGGTAAACCTATAGAAATTATCATGCTGAGGGGTGACGTGGATTTAAAATATGTCTAGGCCAGGCACAGTGGCTCATGCCTGTAATCCCAGCACTTTGAGAGGCCAAGGCAGGAGGATCGCTTGAGCCCAGGAGCTCAAGGCTGCAGTGGGTCATGATCCCACCGTTGCCCTCCAGAGTGAGCGACAGAGCGAGACCCTATCTAAAAAAAATAACACATTAAATTAAATTAAAATATGTCTAAAGAAGTTTGAACAGAGGTTCCCAACCTTTGGGATACAGTGCCAGCATCTCACTAGCAGAGTGACTCTTATGGAAGGAGACATCTGGGACCCTTGTCAGTGGGGGCTGGGGGCTGTGTATGATTCTGACAGATATTCAGGACCTCTCATCTCAAGAATTACCAGTTTAGAGATATGCCTCCCTAGCCGGGCACAGTGGCTCATACCTGTAATCTCAGCACTGTGGGAGGCTGAGGTGAGTAGACCACATGAGGCCAGGAGTTCGAGACCAGCCTGGCCAACA
The DNA here is from genome assembly GCF_000001405.40 of Homo sapiens. Lineage (NCBI taxonomy): Eukaryota > Metazoa > Chordata > Mammalia > Primates > Hominidae > Homo > Homo sapiens. The sequence goes on along the minus strand of NC_000007.14, from coordinate 149,230,607 downwards.
TGGTGAAACTCCATCTCTACTAAAAATACAAAAAGTAGCCGAGCATGGTGGTGCACATCTGTAATCCCGGCTACTCAGGAGGCTGAGTCAGGAGAATCGCTTGAACCTGGGGGCAGAGGTTGCAGTGACCCAAGATCGTGCCACTGCACTCCACCCTGGGCGACAGAGAAAGAGCCTGCCTCAAAGAGAAAGAAAGAAAGAAAAAGATATGCCTCCCTAATGACTCCCTAGGAGGCATGGCCTCCCCCAAACCGTCCTCCTGTGCTCTTCCAAAACAGGGTTCTGGGCCTCTAGGATGCTCTATCGCATGTTTTTGCAGTAACAGCTGGATGGACAAATGCTGTGAAATTATAGGCACAGGCTGGCTCATCCTGAGCCTGGTATGAAGTTTCCTACTTTCCCCCTTTACTCCCTGCCAATACCCAATACCCAGGGCCCAGATGTCAGAGAGCTGGTCATGGTGCCCAAATCTTTGATCATAAGATAACTGCCTTTACCTGTGTGTTTTGGGGTGTTTTTCATTTTTGGTGGTGTCTGACTTAAACCTGCCTTCTTGAGACTTCCATTTCATCCTCTGGCCTCCTTTCAGCGCTATGCATTCACTGTTTCTGAAGAGTTCCAAAAGGGCTGCAGCTCTGTGGGGCCCAGACCACCAGCAGCTGGTCCACGGCCTCTGGCTCTGCCAGTCTTCTGCCTTTCAATCCCAATTGCATTCTCCCCAGTGTGTTTCACCCTTGTCCCACATTGCGTCCTCCCTCCTTTCCCTCTGCCCCATCCAATTCATCCTCTAGTCCCTGACTTCTCCATGAAGGTTAATCTCACGCTTATCGTATCATGAGCTCTGACTCCTCCCATCAACTCTGCTGTCAAGCAAATTGTACCACCTTAGGGTGCCAATTTCCTCTTCATGTCTGTTGCTCAACTCCGATCACTTGTACCCCCTGTGGTGCCCATCCAGGCTAGACACGTGCTAAATACTAAAGAGGTATTCAAGTGAACAAAATGCAGAGGCCAGCATCCTGAGTGTCACCATCTTTGATCAGCTCTGTGGTTAGAGCTCCCTACGGGACTCTCCTAGGGCCTGTGCTGGGGGCTGGGGTGACTCACGGTGTAGTTGAGGGGCACTAGTGCAGCGGGATCCCCCAACCCAGGATCCAGGAAACCGGAGACTTAGCCTTGACCATCACTAGCTCAGTATGGCTTCTACAGACCAGTATTTTCCCAACTTCTCAGCGGGATGTCCTGCAGCGAGCCTTCCAGAAGATCAGGCGTATATTTCTCAAGCCCCCACCCTCATGCAGTCATATGCTTTCTAGTAGTGTTGTTCTCACAAATACCTTCTCTCCTTTAGACGTCAGGCTCCCAGAGGGCAAGGACTAGGTCTTACTCTTCTTTGTTCCCTAATAGATGTTCATGAAACAATAACAATGCAGCCATCCGTCCATCCTCAATCTCATTCTCCTAACACCCTGCCTTGCCCTTTCCATAAAGTAAGGCACAAACTGAGGCCATGAGCATGAAGTTCCCTGAGCTGTCCACCCATCTCAGGAAACGTTCTACTCTCTTGAGCTTTTTGGAGCAGCAACCTTTGCAGAGCACTCCTTGTACCTGATCATCTGGTACAGTGCTGAGGAAGGAATGCTACAATCCAGATGTCCCTGTTAGAGCTTCCTAGGCTGATGAGGACAGAAAGCCCAGAACAGCATATCCTGAAATGAGGAAGTAATTTGAATGTCTGGGAAATTGAACACAGGTCTGTAAGGACACAGATGCAGCTTTCAGCAGTGGATACTTCCAGGAAGTGTGTTAGGAAAGAGTTTCACTCTTTATTGTGTCCTCTTTTCTTTTTCTTTTTTTTTTTAAACTGTTCGAATTTTTATTGCATGCATTGTGTGTGTTTTTTTTTGTTTGTTTGTTTGGTTTTGTTTTTTTTTTTGGAGACGGAGTCTCACTCTGTCACCCAGGCTGGAATGCAGTGGCACAATCTTGGCTCACTGCAAGCTCCATCTCCCGGGTTCAAGCGATTCTCCTGCCTCAACCTCCTGAGTAGCTGGGATTACAGGTGTGTGCCATCACACCTGGCTAATTTTTGTGTTTTTAGTAGAGACAGAGTTTCACCATGTTGGCCACGCTGGTCTCAAACTCCTGACCTCATGATCCGCCCGCCTAGGCCTCCCAAATTGCTGAGATTACAGGCGTGAGCCACCATGTCTGGACTGCATTGATTTTTAAATTAAAAGTCAATTAAAAAAATAGGCTGGGTTGGGCGAGGTGGTTCACACCTGTAATCCCAGCACTTTGAGAGGCCGAGGTGGGCGGATCACTTGAGGTCGGGAGTTAAAGACCAGCCTGGCCAACATAGTGAAACGCCATCTCTACTAAAAATACAAAAATTAGCTGGGCATGGTGGTGGGGGCCTGTAATCCCAGCTACTCCGGAGGCTGAGGCAGGAGAATCACTTGAACCCAGGAGGCGGAGTTTGCAGTGAGCTGAAATGGCACCACTGCACTCCAGCCTGGGCAACAGAGTGAGATTCCATCTAATTAATAAATAAATAAATAAATAAATAAATAAATAAATAAATAAAAGGCCAGGTGCAGCAGTTCACATCTGTAATCTCAGCACTTTGGGAGGCTGAGGTGGGAGGGTTGCTTGAGCTCAGGAGTTCAAGCCCAGCCTGGGCAACATAGCAAGACCCTATCTCTACAAAAAGTAAAGAAAAACAAAATAGCCAGGTGTGGTGATGCATGCATGCCTATAGTCCCAGCCACTGGGGAGGCTGAGGCAAGAGACTGCTTGAGCCCAGGAGTTCGTGGCTGCAATGAGCAATGATTGAATCATTGCACTTCAGCCTGGACAACAGAGTGAAATCCTATCTCTCTCTTTTTTTGAGGAGTCCCGCTCTGTCGCCCAGGCTGGAGTGCAGTGGTGCCATTTCGGCTCACTGCAACCTTTGCCTCCCGGGTTCAAGCGATTCTCCTGCCTCAGCCTCCCAAGTAGCTGGGATTACAGGCACCCACTATCACGGCCGGGTAATTTTTTGTATTTCAGTACAGATGGGGTTTCACCATGTTGCCCAGGCTGGTCTCAAACTCCTGAACTCAGGCAATCCATCCACCTTGGCCTCCCAAAGCGCTGGGATTACAGGTGTGAGCCACCATGCCTGGCCTGTCTCTGTTTTTAAAATTTTTTTCTTTACTCTAGAGACAGGGGTCTCACTATGTTGGAAGGGCAGTCTGAAACTCCTGGTCTCAAGCAATCCTCCCACCTCAGCCTCCCAAAGTGCTGGGGTTACATGAATGAGCCACCACGCCCAACCGGATTGCTTCAGCTCCAGAGGTCAAGGCTGCAGTAAGCCAAGATTGCACCACTGCACTCAGCCTGAATGGCAGAGCAAGACTTTGTCTCTACATAAACTACATTTTCTCAGAAGGAAAATAAAAATCCACCCCCAAAGCAAAACCCCTGTTCTGCTTCAGGATGTGGACTCCAGGGTCTTCACTGAGGATCTTCGCTGCCTGGGAGCCAGCAGAGGCTAACATCCTGAGTGTCACCATCCCCGATCAGCTCTGGGGATGAGGCTCACTATGGGATGCTCCAGCAACCTGTGCCAGGGCTTGGGGCGACTCATGGTGTAGCTGAGGGGTACTTGGTGCAGTGGTATCCACCAGCCTAGGATACAGGAAAGCAGAGAGGCTTGGCTCTCACTAGCTCAGTCCCTAGGTCTCCTTGGGAATCAGCCCCTTGAAGGTAAAATAAAGGGATCACACTGAGCCTTGTGCTCAGGTGTTTTTTTGTTTTTGAGTCGGGGTCTCGCTCTGTCGCCCTGGCTGGAGTGCAGTGGTGCGATCTCCGCTCACTGCAATCTCCACCTCCTGGGTTCAAGCGATTCTCCTGTCTCAGCCTCCTGAGTAGCTGGGATTACAGACACCCGCCACCACGCCCGGCTGATTTTTGTATTTTTGGTAGAGACGGGATTTCACCATTTTCGTCAGACTGGTCTCAAATTCCTGACCTCGGGATCCGTCCGCCTCGGCCTCCCAGTGCTGGGAATACAGGTGTGAGCCACCGCGCCCGGCCAGGTGTTTTAAACCCATGTCTCAAGTGACGTCTCCCCTCTCCTCACACTCCTGCAACCAAAAGACATTCTGACCTTTCCATGATCTAGATTAGGAAAATACTTCGTGCATATGCTTTTTAAAAGTGGCACACTACCCCCCTCCCCCAGCAACTGATCACTGGAGGGTCCCCTTCTGCTCTAACAAAACTCTACTGAACCCTGTCTAATTTCTCATCTCAATTTGCTTTCTTAAGATTTGTCTCCTTCAAAAAGCAGAATGAAGAAAAAAAAATACCCCATTGAATTGGATTCCAGTTCATTGAGGCTTTACTGTAGGCAAGCTGGAGAACCCCCAGCTCTGTGAACATGCAGTCTGCAATCTGGATACCTTTTATTTAATGTCAAGAATTCCCTTTGCACGGCAAAAAGGGGTCTGAGGAAAGCGGAGCAGCGTAGATGAGGGCGAGGGCGGAAGCAGGACGCTCGCCAAAGTGGTGCCGGGTGCCGGCTGCCCACTGTGATCCCGGCTGGGAGGAACGCCGGACCCACGGCAAGGGCAGGGAAAGTCATTTTTGACACAAACAAGGGTCCTGGGGCATACCACCCCACCCGGTGCCAGGCCATGCAAGACGCTGAAATGGAGACTGTGGCCCCTCGGGACGCAGCGCCCGGAGCTATGGAGCAGGTGCACCAACGTGAAGGGGAATCCTTTGGGCGCTTCCCGAGGCGCCTGCAGGGTGTGGAGCACAGCAGGGTCTGTATCCATGTCCGTGAGCACGGGCAGTAACAGATAGCACCAATTGGGAGGCCCAGGGCAGGAGAGCCTGAGGCTCAGACTCTAGCACCCACTTGCCCGGCGCTGCTGGGAAGAGACACGTGACGGCTACTCTCACAGCAAAAGCCTCTCCCTCGCCCCTCTGCCCTGGGAGAACTGGAACAAATCATCATGGTGAGGTCTGACCTGGGGCCCTAACTGCCTGTGGGGGACCAGGCCACTGTTGTGCAGTGACAAGATGCTGCTGCACCAGATTGAGGGGCTGGGGACAGGCTGGGGCCGAGGCGGCACCAGGAGCTCCCATGGAGAAAGAGCCCTCTGAATGTACAACCTGGGGCGTTCCGTAGCCAATCTGTTCCCGGCTCCCAGGAACCCCAGGAGCTGGCCTCCTGTCGCTTCTGGTTTTATCCGTGGGTGAGAGCAAGGAAAGGAAGAGAGACCAGGAAAGGAAGAGAGACCAGGAGGGCCAGGCCAGCAGCTTCCCGAGCAGCGGAGGTAGGCGGAGAGCGCGGTTGGGCAGCGCGCGCCCCTTCCCGTGTGATTGGGTGAACCGTCTCACCTGCCTCTCACTTTACTCGGTCACCAGGAAAATCCTACCCCACCTATCTGAGAGGGATAGGCCAAGGGTGAAATGGATAACGGATAGAAAACACTTAAAAAAGTATAAAGCGCTATTGAAACGCGAGGCAGTGTTGTCATCATGAAGGTGTTACCCTTAGCACATCCCTCGGCCTTCGCTTTTTTTCAGGGCGTCTCCTAACCTTGGGACCTGATTTCCTGATCTCAGAAGGGCTTCGGGACTCCCTGGTGGCTTCCCCTGATGACCATCTGTGGCCCAGTGGTCCCAGGGCACTCGAGGAGGTGTGAGGGCGGTGCCCGAGGACGCTCGGCTCCTCGCGGTCCCCCTGGCTCTTCCCCAGCAGCTGGGTCCACCCTAGATGAGCTGGGCGTCCATTCAGACCAGACAGATCTGGGGGATCCCTGCCCCACCCTGGGGGACCCCCAACCGGAGTGCAATGCCTGTTGCCGATTTCCAGACGGTGGCTGAGGACACCCGGCAAGGTGGTTGGTGCTCAGGCCGCCCCCGATCCACTCCGTCCGGCCCTGCCCTCCCCCAGCCCAGCCCTAGTCTCGCTCAGGAGGCGGCGGGAGCTGCCGTGGGGCGCCGGGGCCCGGGCCGCCGCTGTGCACGCGCAGGTGGTCCTTGAGCGACTCCTTGTAGCGGAAGCTCTTGCCGCACTCGCCGCACGTGTAGGGGCGCTCGCCCGTGTGGATGCGCTGGTGCTTGAGCAGGTTCTGCTTGCGGATGAAGCTCTTGCCGCACAGTGCACATTGGAAAGGCCGCTCGCCCGTGTGCAGCCGCTGGTGGTTCTGCAGGTGCTCCTTACGGCTGTAGGTCTTCTCGCACTCCGAGCACTTGTAGGGCCGCTCGCCGCGGTGCGTCATCTGGTGGCGGATGAGGCCCGAGTGGCAGTTGAAGCTCTTCTCGCACTCAGCGCACTCGTAGGGCCGCTCCTTGGTGTGGCTGCGGTGGTGGATGATGAGGCTCTTGCGCACGCCGAAGCTCTTGCCGCACTCGGGGCACGAGTAGGGCTTGCTGCGGGCGCCGTGCAGGAGGAGGCTCCGCCGCAGCCCGCCAGGGCAGCAGCTGCCACAGCCGCCGCCTGCCCCCGTCCCCGCCTCCGCGCCGCCGCCCCCACCGCCCCCATCGCCCCCGCCGCCCCCGGTGCTGCGGTCCCCACCCGGCGGCGCCTCGCCGGAGCCACGCTCCCCGGGCAGCACCTGGAAACCGTCGTCCAGCAGCCCTCGGCTCGGGGGGCCGCCCGGGTTCTCGGCCACCGCGATGGGGGGCAGGCTCTGGGGCTGGGGCTGCGACTGCAGCTGCGGCTGCGGTGGCTGGGGCTGGGGCTGGGGCTGTGGCGGGGCCGGGGGTGGGTTCTTCACCATCAGCAGGCTGTCACCTGGGGAGATAGGAAGAAGTGACATGCTGACAGGGGTTCTCGGCCAGGACCCCACACTGCTCCCGAAGGGGGGCCCAGGGAGCATGCTATCTGAGCCTCAGTTCCACTAACTACGAGGGATTGCACAAGGTGCTGGGCCACGATCTACGTGGCCCTTCGACCTGTTCGAAGCCACCCTGCTGTGGAGCCCAGAAACGGGTCAAGCAGGTGGCACGCAGCAAGGACAGGAAGTCCCTCCAGAACGCTGAGGGCTAAGGGGTAGGGGACCTGCTGTCCAGAAGTCATTTTGGAAGGCAGAATTTCCCAGAAACAACAAGACTTACTTGCAGTCTGATGGACAATGTTTTTTGTTTGTTTGTTTTTCCAGACAGGGTCTGGCTCTGTCTCCCAGGCTGTAGTGCACTGGTGAGATCATGGCTCACTGCAGCCTTGACTTCCTGGGCTCAAGTGATCCTCCCACCTCAGCCTGCCAAGTAGCTGGGACCATAAGCATGCGCCACCAGGCCCAGCTAATTAAAAAAAAAAAACAAATCTTTTCGGCCGGTCGCAGTGGCTCACGCCTGTAATCCCAGCATTTTGGGAGACCGAGGTGGGCGGATCACCTTAGTTCAGGAGTTGGAGACCAGCCTGACCAACATGGAAAAACCCCGTCTCTACTAAAAATACAAAATTAGCCGGGAGTGGTGGCCCATGCATGTAATCCCAGCTACTCAGGAGGCTGAGGCAGGAGAATCACTTGAACCGGGGAGGCAGAGGTTGCAGTGAGCTGAGATCTTGCCATTGCACTGGCCCAGGCATCCAGCCTGGGCAACAAGAGCGAAACTCTGTCTCTCAAAAAAGTAAATAAATAAAATACAATTTAAAAAGGCCAGGCGCAGTGGCTCACGCCTGTAATCCCAGCACTATGGGAGGCCGAGGTGGGTGGATCACGAGGTCAAGAGATCGAGACCATCCTGCCCAACATAGTGAAACCCCATCTCTACTAAAAATACGAAAATTAGCTGGGCATGGTGGCACGCACCTGTAGTCCCAGCTACTTGGGAGGCTGAGGCAGGAGAATCACTTGAACCTGGGAGGCGGAGGTTGCAGTGAGCTGAGATCCTGCCACTGCACTCCAGCCTGGCGACAGAGCGAGACTCTGACTCAAAAAATAAATAAATAAAAATAAAAAATAAAAAATAAATTTTTGTTGAGACAGGGTCTCACTATGTTGCCCAGGCTGGTCTCCAACTCCTGGGATCAAGCAATCCTCCCACCTTGGCCTCCCAAAGTGCTGGGATTACAGATGTGAGCCAGCACACACACTGACAATGCTCACTTTTATCTCAGGACAGTCTCTCAATAGGAAGAAAAGAATTTTATCCAAGGTGAAAACCATCTAGAGGCCCACAGGAATGGAATGCAGGGAGCTGGAAACATAAGCATCAGATGGGTTGGCAGTCATGTTTCCACTAAGCATGTGGGGCATCTGACTTGGGCAGGTGTGGGCAGCTGGGACATGTGAGTCCCACCCTGGCACCTGACCCACCTGGACCTTGGCAGCACCATAACAGGCCCTCCTTGCACTCGTGGCAGTGGCCACCCAACCTACCACCCCAGGAAATGCGGTTCTTGCCCCCTTTCCTCCAAGTGCACAGTTCTCCACCACCTTGGGGGGCAGTGGGAGACAAAGCCCAGGCTCTGAGCATCAGAATGGTGACGTCAGGCCCAGTCCTTCCCCCTCCCACCCACCCTGTCCCCCAGCCCAGTGGTTCTCATGCCTCACGCTCCATCACCTCCCTGGTCTTCAGTTTGAATTCCTTTCTCCCTAGAGGAGTCCTGCTCCCCAATTTAGGGGAAGCCTGTGGAAGAGCTCTGAAGAAAGAGACGGCCTCCCACCTCTTCTCAGCATCCTTTTCTCCGTGCTCACACCCCTCTGCCTAGGACCCAACTGCTCCCCGGAGGCCACTTCCCAGGCCACATCTGCCATGTTTCCACCCAGCCCTCCTATATTCGTTGGTGTTTGACTGAGGTCTGTCCTTATATGATACTCTTAAATAGACTGGGCCTGCCCTCCCTCTCTGTCTCAATCAAAATTGGCCTGGCAGAGAACCATCTCTGCAGGACACTGGCCAGGTGCAGAGGCCAAAAGAATTCTCTTCACATCAGTGCAGGATGCCTGGGAAGGGTCATCCCAGCTCCAGAGAATCCCGGGAGATCGCTGTGGCCTCTGTGGCCACGGCACTGAGGGTGTTTGCTTCTCTGTCTACCCAGTCCTGCTACTCTCACTCCTTCCCAGGTGTTATTCCCAGAGGACTTGCAAAGAAACTATATGCACATAAACTCCCAGGGGCTGTCTCCCGGGAAGCCCACCTAAGGCAGTCCTACTCTGACCGTCTTCCAACCCAGTGTGAACCTCAATCCACGTTCTCACCATCCCGCTATGCCCTCCACCTCCAACCTTTTTCTGCCTTCCTGACCCAACTTGGCTCTCCAGGCCCGGCAGCCCAGGCACTTGCAAGGGCACGGTGATTGCCTTTGCTCCGCCGTTGTGCTTGCCTGGAGAACTCCAGTCCTGTGACTGCACTCAGGCAGCTGAAAAACTGCACAAGCTGGCCAGGCACTGTGGCTCATGCCTGTAATCCCGGCACATTGGGAGGCCAAGGCAGAAGGATTGCTTGAGCCCAGGAGTTTGAGACCAGCCTAGGCAACCTAGGGAGACCCCATCTCTACAAAAAAACATTTAAAAATTAGGTACTGTGACACACGCCTGTGGTCCCAGCTACTCAGAAGACTGATGCGAGAGGATTATTTAAACCTGAGAGGTCGAGGCTGCGGTGAGCCGTGATCGCGCCACTGTACTCCAGCCTGGGTGACAGAGTGAAACCTTATCTCAAAAAAAAAAAAAAAAAAAACCCTCCAGGGGCCTCCACACAGCCTGGCATCCTGGCCCACGTCTCTAGTGGGTTTTACTTTTCCACTCTGGAATGATTACGTCATCCTTCCTCCTCTATCCTACGCCCCTCCCCCCCAACCCATGCATGGCCCTGAGGGCTTTTCCTTTCCAGTCACTGGCTGGTAAGTGATTCACATGCAAGCATGTAACCTAGTTATGGTCAGTAGGGTATGGGAAGTTTGCTGGGAGGCTTCTGGAAAGATTTCCTCATTCCTTAGAGTGTGCAGGAAAAGATGGGCTTTCCTGTACACTCATGTCTGGATGCGACGCTTGGGACAGCTGCAGCTGCTGTGCTACCAGCCTGGGGATGAAGCCACACCGAGGATGGTCAGGCAAGGAATTGGAAAGAACCTGGGTCCTTGAAAACATGCTGAGTCTTTGAATCAACTAAGCCTGAACCTGACCTACCTTAGGACTTCCAGTTACGTAAGAGAAGAAATTTCTTTATTCTTTTTTTTTCTTTTGGAGACGGAGTCTGGCTCAGTTGCGCAGGCTGGAGTGCAGTGGCGCGATCTCAGCTCGCTGCAAGCTCCGCCTCCTGGGTTCACGCCATTCTCCTGCCTCAGCCTCCCGAGTAGCTGGGACTACAGGCGCCCACCACGACTACGCCAGGCTAATTTTTTTGTATTTTTAGTAGAGACGGGGTTTCACCGTGTTAGCCAGGATGGTCTCGATCTCCTGACCTCAGGATCCGCCCGTCTCGGCCTCTCAAAGTGCTGGGATTACAGGCGTGAGCCACCGTGCCCGGCTTCTTTATTCTTTAAGGCAGTTTGAATCAGGGTTCTAAAGTAGTTGGGAGCATCTGACCCGAGACAATGGTCTAGTTATCTCCGACCTTAAAAGAACCCCCTCCCTAGGCCCATGTGGCCCGTGCCCCAGCTCCTCACATGTCATTTCTGTTCCTTTTCATAGTAAGACTCATCAAGAGTCACTGCACTTGCCCTTACCACTTCTTCACCTCCCATTCTTTTTAGATGATTCCAATCAGGCATGCACCCTTGCCATTCCACTGAAAAACTTTTTCGTTTTTGAGACCAAGTCTTGCTCTGTTGCCCAGGCTGGAGTGCAGTGACACAATCTCTGCTCACTGCAACCTCCACCTCCCAGGTTCAAGCGATTCTCTTGCCTCAGCCTCCCAAGTAGCTGGGATTACAGATGCCTGCCACCATGCCTGGCTAATTTTTGTATTTTTAGTAGAGACAGGGTCTCTCCATGTTGGCCAGGCTGGTCTCGAACTCCCGACCTCAAATGATCCACCTGCCTCGGCCTCCCAAAGTGCTGAGATTACAGGTGTGAGCCACCACACCCAACCTCCATTGAAAAACTTTTGCCGAGATCACCAACAATATCCAACCTGTCAAATCCCCCAGGCTCTTCCCTGTCCTGCATATGCAACCACTCATGGGTGTCTGACATAGTTAACCCTCCCCAAGAGATTCTCTTCTCCCAGCCTCTGTAACACCTTGCCCCTCTGGTTTTCTGCCATGCTCAGAGCTAAGATCTCTTTAATTCTTTGTTTACACTGTCCCTAGAACTCATATAGTCCTGAACAACCTAAGTGTAATAACTTGACTGGCCTTTGTCCCTGGTTCCTGGGAAGGAGCCTCTAAATCTCTGGATTTCCCGAGTGACAGGGGTGCCTTTGTTATTCATGGTGGGATCTTAGAGAGTTTAAGCTAAGGAGATGACAAAGGATGGGGCTGCCATGCTGAAAAGACCAAGCACGTGACTAAAGGTTTAGGGTTTGAGGCCCAACCTCCAGGGAGGGAAAGGGGCTGGAGACTGAGCTGAACCTCGTGGCTAATGATTCAATCAATCATATCTATATAAAGAAGCCCCAACAGAAACTCGGAACGCCAAAGCTCAGCGAACTTCCCTGGTTGGCAATGCTCTGCATATTTTCACACGTTGACATGCTGGGAGGGTGACACATCCTGACTCCACAGGGAGGGAACAATGGAAATTTCAGGCTTAGGACCATCCCAGACCTAGCCTTATGGATCTCCTTTTGGCTAGCTCTGATTTGAATCCTTTTGCTGTGATAAAACTGTAATGATATATATAGCACTTTCCTGAGTTCTATGAGTCATTCTAGCAAATTATGACGGGGTGATGGGAAGCCCAGAATTTGTAGCCAGCTGGTCAGAAGTGAGGGTGGCCTAGAACCCCCAAATTTGCAGCTGGTGTCTGAAGAGAGAACGGTCCTGTGGAGGCATGAGCCCTCAACCTGTGAGGTTTGGCCAATTACAGGTCGCTGATGTTGGAAGTCACTGCAACCTGTAACTCCCAAATCAGTCTATCCCCAAGCTCTCTCTTGAACTTCAGACTCCTATATTCACCTACTTGATCTGCTACTTGAGTGTCACCTCAAATTTTAATAGGTCCAAACTAGAACTCTTGACTCCAAACTAGAACCAGCAACACAGGTTCTTTTCCAGGGCTTGGCACTTCAGCAAACAGTACTACCATTCACCCACTTCTGTAGGACCCAGACCCAGGAGTCAGTCTTGATTCCACAGCCCCCACAGGCAACCCATGAGTGACACTCTCAAAGTGCATCTGAATCTGTCCTTTCTCTCCCTGTGCACTGCTGCTACCCCAGCTCTGACCACCAGCATCTCTCCACTTGGTCTGCATCAAATGCATGAGCCTCAGACATGGCTCCGCACCCCCCGCCAATCCACTCCTGAAATCCTATAAAAACGTAAACCAGATCATGTCCGATTTCATACCCTTTATTAGTCTCTCTCTCTCTCTTTTTTTTTTTTTTTTCTGAGACAGGGTCTCGCTTTGTTACCCAGGCTGGAGTGCAGTGGCATGATCTCACTGCAACTTTCACCTCCTGGGTTCAAGGGATTCTCATGCCTCAGCCTCCCGAGCAGCTGGGATTACAGGTGCCCGCCATGACACCCGGCCTAGTCTCCTTTCTTGTAAGAATAAAATCCAAACTCTAACTTGGCCCATAGGTCATACATGCTCAGGTGCCTCAGTCTACGGCTCCATCCTCCTCCCCAAAGCCTCCATGGCCCTGCCTTCACTTCCCTCTTCTTGGTCTTCTCTTCCCCCTGCAACCCCACGGCCGGCTCCTTCCCACTGCCAAGGGCACACTCAGTCAGGCACCGCTTCCCCTCGGAGGCCTTTCCTGACCACTCTGTCTTTGCTCTGCCTCATGTCCACACTCCTTCCTGTTCTCCCTGCCATTGTTCTCAGAGCATTGCTGCATCCTGGCTTTACCTTGCCTGCTTGCTGGCCTGCTTATTCATCCTCTTCCCACAAAAGAAAAGGTCTTTCTTCACTCCCAATTTTTTTTTTTGAGACAGAGCCTTACTCTGCCACCCAGGCTGTAGTGCAGGGGCGCAATCTTGGCTCACTGCAACCTCCGCCTCCCGGATTCAAGCAATTCTCCTGCCTTAGCCTCCCAAGTAGCTGGAGTTACAGGTGCCCACCACCACTCCTGGCTAGTTGTTTTTTGTTTGTTTGTTTGTTTGTTTTTTGTATTTTTAGTAGAGACGGAGTTTCACCATGTTGGCCAGGCTGGTCTGGAACTCCTGACCTCAGGTGATCCAACTGCCTTGGCCTCCCAAAGTGCCGGGATTACAGGCCTGAGCTACCACACCTGGCCCTTCACTGCTTATTCTAAGTGCTTACAATACTGTGTAACACATAGCAGGCATTAAGTAAATACCTGCTAAAAAAAATATAAACTATGAAAGGTTGGAACCACTGTTTTAACCCAATGTAGTGAATAATGTGGGAATTTCAAGAGGGTGCTTTCACGTCATATTCTGTGGGTGTTGGCACCTGGGAATGGTGGCCCAGCTTCAGGATCTTTACCACCTCTCACTCCGGAAGCACCTTTTAGCCACTGCACTCCAGAGTCCTAGCTACGCTTCCTGCTTCAGTGGAGGCACTGATGTACATTAACTTTGGGCAAACTGAATCTTCTTCTTGTCTTACACTAACATGCTGAGAGCGAGACTCAGTATACACTCATTAATAAATAAATTCAGGAGTCCCTTTTACAAGAATGTAATATCCAATTGGGTTGAGGTCTGCCTTTGAGTCAAACGGATACCAGTTATTTCCCTCTTACATATCCCAGGGCTGGAGAAGGAAGTTGGCAAGGACAGGTATCCCGTGTCTGCACTGTGTTCTCTACCCTGACTCTTCTCCCCTCCATCCCCTTTCCAGAAGACTCTTCCACATAATAGCATGGCTACCATCTGGCTGTCCCTGGCAACCACAATACTAGGTTGGTTTTAAACATCAAAGAAACCACAGATGACAGGCCAGTGTCAAATTCCAACACTGATAAATAGGAAGCAGGCTCACTTTGGGAGAAAGAACAGAGGTTCTGATAAGAGGCTGTCGTGACTTGGCAGGCAAGAGAACCATTTCCAGATACTCCTATCTCCTAAATTCTGTGCATTTCCTCCCAAATGCTAGGGTTCAAAGGTCCTTCAAATATAAAATAACGGGCTGGGCCTGGTGGCTCCTGCCTGTAATCCCAGAGCTTTGGGAGGCCCAGGTGGGAGGATTGCTTGAGGCCAGAAGTTCAGACCAGCGTGGGTAATATAGCAAGACCCTATCTCTACAAAACATTTTAAAAAATTACTGAGGCACAGTGGTGCATGCCTGTAGTCCCAGCTATTTGGGAGGCTGAGGCAGGAGCATCACTTGAACCTAGGAGATGGAGGCTGCAGTGAGCCAGGATCACACCACTGCACTCCAGCCTGAGCGGCAGAGTGAGACCCTGTCTTTAAACAAACAAAAAAAAGATAAAACAACATGAGGCAAATCATTCTATGATATCCAAACTTAAGTAGGAAAATGGTGGGGTCCTTTGCAAATCCTTGCAAGTTCTCTATGGGCCTTCCTAGACTGCTTTCCACACAGCACAAGTCCCCAAGAACAGGCTCCTCTAGGCCCACATGCTCCTAGCCAACTGGGAAGAATCAGAAGACAGCATTGAGGGATAAGGAAGGGTTTGGGCAGAATTTCCTGGCCCCAGGTCAGATGCACTAGTTCCTATGCCTTCGGGCCAGGGCTAGCAATGGTAGCCTACCAGCTGTGGAGGAAGAGATGGAGTTGGCTTTCTTCCGGTGCTCACCACCAGTTTCCTGGCTTCCCCCATCTCATCCCACCAAGCCAGCAGTTACAAAGAGGACCGCTTTCAATTCTACTTGAAATAAGGACATACATTGTTCCTATCTCGTTCCTGCCAATTCCTCCAGGCCCACACTGGCTCTTCTAGAACTAAGTTGTCTTATAGAGAGTGTGATCCGCTTGCCTGAGTTTGAAATGGCTGTTCAGAACCAGAAACAACCCATGTCCTCCGCTCTTACGTGAAGTTTAAGCTCCTTCAAGATGTCAGCACTGGGCACTATGGCTCATGCCTGTAATCCCAGCACTTTGAGAGGCCAAGGTGGGCAGATCACCTGAGGTCAGGAGTTCGAGACCAGCCTGGCCAACATGGTGCAACCTCGTCTCTACTAAAAATTCAAAAATTAGCCAGGCATGGTGGCACACACCTGTAATCCCAGCTACTCGGGAGGCTGAGGTGGAAGAATTGCTGGAACCCAGAAGGCGGAGGTTGTGGTAAGCCTAGATCGCACCACTGCGCTCCAGCCTGGGCGGCAGAGTGAGACTCTGTCTCAAAAAAAAAAAAAAAAAAAAAAAAATGTCAGGAAATATGGACAGGGAACACACATGCAGCTATTCTGTTAAGCCTTTGACCAGCCAGAAGACACTAGGTCAGCCATGTTGAGGGCAAGGGGATGGTACTGGGTTTTAGCGAGGAATATTAGCCTGAGCTAAGAATGTTCAACAATCCATAAACATATGCCTAGGGTCATAGGTCAATAAGGGAGCTTCAGAAAGACCCAAGAGACCCAAGTCTGGTGAGACATTTGGTTCCATACCTGTTGGGAAAACAATCCTCCCTTTCTCTTTGAGCTTCAGTGTGTTCATCAGTGACTCCGGGATGGTAGCTCAGGGATGCCTGGGGTACTTCTAGTGTTTTTTGTTTTTTCTTTCAGGTTTTTTTGAGACAGGATCTCGCTCTCGCCCAGGCTGGAGTGCAGTGGTGCAAGCATGGCTCATTGCAGCCATGACCTCCCAGGCTCAAGCGATCCTCTCACCTCAGCCTCCAGAGTAGCTGGGACCACAGGCATAAGTCACCACGCCTGGCTAATTTGTTAATTTTTTTGTAGACCCTGTGGGTCTCACTATGTTACCCAGGCTAGTTTCAAACTCCTGAGCTCAAGAGATCCTTCCACCTCAGCCTCCCAAAGTGCTGGGATCATGGGTGTGAGCCACCGTGTGCAGCCTGGCTAGTGTCTTCCAGCATGTGAGCCACCTGCTGCTGTCAACTGCCTCGGGCACACTGGCTCAGCAATCTCCCGGCCCCTCTCCCTTCCTCCCCTCCCTGCCATAAAGGGTTAAATTGTGCCTTCCCCCCTCCCCACCAAATATGTTGAAGTCCTAACCCCCAGGACTTCAGAATGTGACCTTATTTGGAAACGGGGTCATTGCAGATGTAGTTAGTTAAGATGAGGTCATACTAGAGTAGGGAGGCCCTGATCCAATATGACTGGTGTCTTTATAAGATGGCATGTGAGGACAGACACAAGGGAACACCATGTGACAACAGAGGCTTGCAGCAACGCATCTACAAGCCAAGGAGTGCCAGAGGTTCCTGGCACCCAGCAGAAGCTGGGAGAGGCGAGGGAGGAATCCCATACAGACTTCAGAGGAAGTCTGGAGCAAGGCCCAGCCCACCCCTTGATTTTGGACTTTCAACCTGTGGAACTGTGAGAGAATAAATTTCTATTGTTGAAGCTGCCCAGCCTGTGGTACCCTGTTATGACAGTCCTGGGGAGCTAATACAATATCACACTCCAAAAAGAATGGGAGTGCTTTGGTGCAGAACTTTGAAACGCTGCCATCAACAGAACATCACCCTACGAGGGGTGAGCTGAGAAGAGGACCAGCCTTCGTCCACGCCTCAGCTGTACAGCTCCAGAGAAGAAACCCCAGGGTCTAGGTGGGGACGTTACTCACTAGGGCCAGAGTCTAATCCAAGCTCTCCGTCCATTGAGTCGCGTGGTCCCCATGGGTATGGCTGCTCCTCCTGCTTGATCCATGACAAAATGTCATGTGCTGAGATGAGAGACTCTGTTGTCATGGAAAGAAGGCAGTCTTAGATTTTGTTCAGTTCTACTCGGCCTCCCATCAAAGGTTTGAAAACCATCCCATGCGGTGGCTGCAACCTGCAGGGCATGTTTTGGTATCGGTGTTGCATTTCCAGGCCATCCTCCTTACCCTCATAAGCCCCTTCCTAAATGGACTCTCACTGCTCGATGCATTTCAAGTTGGCCAGAAGGAGGCTTAGCCCAAGGTCTGTGCAGTGGCAGGGCCGGGATTAAAACCCAGATCTCCCAGCTCTGCCACTTAGCCCCAGAGGAACCCATGGGGCCAGGACAGGCCAGAAGAAAGCCCCAGATAACGGCCCTCAGGGCCATGGCTAACAGGTATGATTTAGAAACCAGCGATGGCAGAGGCTGCAACCAGAGGTCATTGATAAGAACCACAGTGAAGCAGGAAGGCCCCGCTTTCCCTCTGCCCTGGGTCCCCTCAATTTCTCTGTGGTGAAGTTGACAAAGTACAAGGAATCCTAGATTCAACTTCTCATCCTCTCTCCCTGGTATGGTGGGTAGGATGAGACTTGTGTCCTAACTACCAGGCAATGACACTGGACTTCTCAGCTCTGCAATCACATGGACACACACATAGGTCGTGGGCAGGTGGGGCTTCCATTGTTCTTTTATGCCTCCCTGAATG
Organism: Homo sapiens; assembly: GCF_000001405.40. Classification (NCBI taxonomy): domain Eukaryota; kingdom Metazoa; phylum Chordata; class Mammalia; order Primates; family Hominidae; genus Homo; species Homo sapiens. Next base: position 149,213,034 of record NC_000007.14, on the reverse strand, counting down.
CCTAGACCCTCCCTACAAGTTTCTTGGGAAACTTCTAACTAGTATTCACTCAAGAGAAATTCCAGAAAATGTAAATAATTTTCTGACACAGAAATATATGCAGCTTTTAGATGCTTTTTGGTTGTTTTTATTGTTCAAAAATCAGTGCTGAATGGCCGGACGCGGTGGCTCATGCCCGTAATCCCAGCACTTTGGGAGGCTGAGGCGGGCAGATCATTTGAGGCCAGGAGTTCAGAAGCAGCCTGACCAACATGGTGAAACCCCATCTCTACTAAAAATACAAAAAATGAGCCAGGTGTGGTGGCACATGCCTGTAATCTCAGCTACTCAGGAGGCTGAGGCAGGAGAATCGCTTAAACCCGGGAAACGGAGGTTGCGGTGAGCTGAGATCACACCACTGCACTCCAGCCTGAACAACAGAGCAAGACTCCGTCTCAAAGAACAAAAAATCAGTGCTGAAGTAATTTTAGTATCAGCTGCATAAACACAATAAATTATTAATTTAATGATTCCTTTTGAAAAACACTTGTTGCCCTCAAGATTCATTCTGACCTTGTTCTCACCTGAATTGGGATCCGTGGGAATATCTCTGTCTGCCAAATCCTGCTGATCCCACACGCACTGATGCTCCTCCTGTTTAATCCGGGACAAGAGGTCCTGGGCAGAAATTGGGGAGTCTACTTGCGGGAACAAGAGCGGCAAAGGTGTTAGAAGATGCGAAATCTCCTGCAAGTTTGTGTTTTGAGTAAATCTCTGATTTCATGCAATTATCTCTTTCCCCTAAACATCAGGTACAATTACATAAGTCTCATTAACTAAAGGTTGAAGTCAGCTTGGCCCCAATTAACGGAGCTTTTGCTGCAAATAAGAGGATGCTGCAGGGGAGTAACATTACAGTCTTTAAGAAAGAGCCTTTCTGTGCTGCAGGAACTTAAATCTCCTTAGAATGAGGTTCCCATTCTGGTGCTGAGACCACCACAGAAAGAGGTATTTCCTCTGGAAAGATGAAAACTTCCAGAAAGCCTCTTTTTTTAAATTATATATTGACAAATTATAGTTGTATATATTTATGGGGTATAAAGTAATGTTACAAGAAGCCTTTAAATCTTTTGAATGGGATTTTTCTAAGATGTAAGAAAAAGACCCTATACTCTCTTTCTTCTACAGAGTCTCTGAAACCTAATTTACACCTTATTGCCTTCTTATCTCTTAAAGATCTCCTTAAAGATCCTAATACTGTGATGCTTTCAAGGGTCATGCCTGATGACAAGTGAACGGGCTTTCCTCTACCCAGACACTATGAGCACTTACCTATGGGTGTGAGGCTCTGACTAAGGGGGGGATGAGGTTTGTGGAGCTCTAACCTGTGGATAAGTAAAGGGCTACAGTATGTTAATATGTCTCATGATTGTTGATTTTATGTGTCAACTTGGCTCGGCCACGGTACCCAGATATTTGGTCAAACATTATTTAGCTGTTTCTATGAAGGTATATTTTTAGATGAGATTTGAACATGTAAGTCAGTAGACTTGAGTCAAGCAGATTGCCCTCTATGATGTGGGCGGGCCTCATCAACCAGCTGAAGGCCTAAGGGAAAAGACTGGCCTCCCCCAAGGAAAAGGGAATTCTGCCTGCAGGCTCCAGCAGCCACATCAGCAATTCCCTGGGGCTCTAACCTGCTGGCCTGCCCTGTAAATTTTGGACTTGCCGGCCTCCACAATCACAAGCCAATTCCTTAAAATAAAATAAATCTCTCTTTTCCACACACACCCTTACAGGTCCTGTTTCTCTGGAGAACTCTGATTGATACATACATCTGCTATAACAGAGCTCTCACCTACGACAGAGTCCAGCTGCAATGCCAGCTAAGAGGAGGTCCCTCACAGGACCGCAGGTATGTAGGTGCCTGGCACAGAGGTAGCAGCCCATAAATACTTGTTTAAAACAATGAAAGGCCTTCCTGGTCAGGGCACAACAGGTCTTCCTGACCTCCCTGTTCCCCCACCCATGAAGCCTTACACTTAGTACTTCTGCCAGGATATTGTTTCTAAAGGGGAAGATGGAATAGTTACAAACGGATAATATGAGGAAGAGAGGAAACAGAACACGCTGAGCCCAGGTGTACCAGCAAATTGTCAATGCTGTTTGCCACGTCTGTGTCTCCTGGAGGAATCCTGGCTCAGCCCAGCCCTGGATGCACAGCCCTTCCATTTCGAGCTCAGCCCTCTGGCCTGGCACATGTGACAGCTAACTCTGGGGGCTGGCAGACCATGCTAACCCTCTCCCCTCCCCTCCCCTCCCTGGTGTGGACGGCTGCTTGGCTCACTCACCGGTAATGGATTCCGTAGGGATGGCTCTTTCCTCCAGGCCCCGCTGACCCCGGACACACAGGGTGTCCTCACGCTTCACCTGGGAGGACGCATCCTGCGCAGGCACCAGGGGCTCTGCTCCTGGGGACAGAGAATGACATTGCTTTGTGTCTTTTTTTCTGCAGGCACCAGGAGCTCTGCTCCTGGGAACAGAGAATGACATTGCTTTGTGTCTTTTTTTCTGCATGCTGGTCACCAGGACATTCTGGGCTCAGAAGCATGGCTGACAGCACTTGCCAGGGGAGAAGACAGGGGTCTCGGGTTCCTATTGGAACCATGGGGGACCCTGAGGAGCAGAAGGTCTCAGGAGCAGAGAGGAAGCCAACATTCAAGAAAAAGGGCTAGGCAAGCAGCAAAATGAGGGGTGATGACACTGAAGAGAGAATTCAGAAACAACCTAGAGCTGTGTAACTGGCTGGGTCCTAATCAGGACTGGGCCACAAGTTGGACCTCTCTGTGGGAGTCATTAGTCCTTGTTAGTCACCCCAGTCAGAAAGAGCTGGCCAGGTTGAGGCCAGATGCACACACACGTGTATATATATGATTTGTGAGAAGCGGGGATGGGCAAAAAGGCACAACTAAGCTCTATTGTTGGACAGATAGTGCAGAACCTCCTTATACAGCCAGTCTCACTGTCGTCAGCAGGTTCTTGGAAACAGTGAGTTCAAGTGAAATGACACATAGCAGATCCTCAAATAACATCATTTCCTTCTATGATGTTTAGTTATAACATTGATGAGAAAGAAAAATTGGTTGTGTTATATGTCACTTTAAAGCCACAGTTTCCGAGACCCTATCAATGACATTAAGTGAGGACTCACTGTGCATAAAAGACAAGGACATAGCCTCTACACAGAAGCCCAGCATGCAACAAACAGGGCCTTTTCTTCTGATGGCGCCCCCTGCTGCAAGAGGAGGCTCAGGCACCAGGAAAGAGAGAAGACAAAGAATCTGAAGACTGGGATCCTGCCTTCAACTCCGCACCAACTCAGTGGATGAGTCATTTAGCCTCTCTGGGTTCCGGTCTACCCTTTTCATCTACAAAAAGGACACAGTGATCCCTGTTCTATCTCATGCTCAGTGATGGTTTGATAACCAACTGAAACTGTTGAGATTACAGTGCTTCAAATGTAAAAATCTACCCCATAAGACTAGGTGCTGTTACTACCGCTGCTGACCTTAAACTTCTGCAGTCCTTGATGAAGACAGGGAAGGAGCCATTTAGAGGAAATGCCCAGGACAGGCAAATTCATAGATATGGACAGTCGATTAGTGGTTCCCAGGGGCGGGGGGTGGTAAAAGAGAGCAGGGAAGGACTGCTTGTGGGTGTGGGGTTTCTTTTTTTTTTTTGAGACGGAATCTGTCTCCCAGGCTGGAGTGCAGTGGCACAATCTCGGCTCACTGCAAGCTCCGCCTCCCGGGTTCACGCCATCCTCCTGCCTCAGCCTCCCGAGTAGCTGGGACTGACTACAGGCGCCCGCCACCACGCCCGGCTAATTTTTTGTGTTTTTAGTAGAGACACGGTTTCACCGTGTTAGCCAGGATGCTCTCGATCTCCTGACCTCATGATTCGCCCTCCTCGGCCTTTCAAAGTGCTGGGATTACAGGCGTGAGCCACCGCGCCCGGCCCTCTTTTTTTTTTTTTGAGATGAAGTCTCCCTCTGTAGCCCAGGCTGGAGTGCGGTGACACAATCTTGGCTCACTGCAACCTCCACCTCCCGGGTTCCAGCGATTCTCCTGCCTCAGCCTCCCGAGTAGCTGGAATTACAGGTGCACGCCACTGCACCCGGCTAATTTTTTGTATTTTTTAGTAGGGACGGGGTTTCTCCTTGTTGGCCAGGATGGTCTTGAACTCCTGACCTCAGCTAATCCGCCCACCTCGGCCTCCCAAAGTGCTAGGATTACAGGCGTGAGCCACCGTGCCCTGCCGGGTGTGGGGTTTCTTATGGTAGAAATGTTCTGGAATTAGATAATGATTTTGGTTGCATGACTTTGTGAGCCACTGAATTGCATTCTTTAAAACAGTAAATGTTATGGTCTGTAAATCACATCTCAAAAAAAGGAAAGACTGGGAATGGGAGGAGGAGAGAGTGTGGCCTTGAGAGCTGCATTCTAAGATGAGTTTCAGGAAAATGTTCTCCACTTAAAAACAACGGAGGACACGGCCGGGCATGGTGGCTCACGCCTGTAATCCTAGCACTTTGGGAGGCCGAGGCGGGTGGATCACTTGAGGTCAGGAGTTCAAGACCAGCCTGGCCAACATGGTGAAACCCTGTCCCTACTAAAAATACAAAAATTAGCTGGGCGCAGTGGTGTATGCCTGTAGTCCCAGCTACTCGGGAGGCTGAGGTTGCAGTGAGGCTGAGGTTGCAGACTTGAATCTGGGAGACGGAGGTTGCAGTGAGCTGAGATTGCACCGCTGCATTCCAGCCTGAACCACAGAATGAGACTCTGTCTCAAAGAAACAAAAAACAAAAAAACAAGGGAGGACAGAGGGCCCAGACAGGCAAAAGTTCCTCCAATGAGGTAGAGAACACAGTTTGAGCACCAGATTTCACCTAATCCAACAATGCTCAGGAAAGCTGACCCTGAGGAAAGATTTCCAAGGCAGAGGCAGGCCTAGAACCCTAGGGCCTTCCACCCTTTCCACCCCAGCAAGAGCTCATCAAGTGTGATGTGCTCGGGGGGCCCGATTTCCTCAGGCTTAAGATTCCTTCTTGAGTGAGGCAAGCGGCTTGCAGGGCGAGCCTGCAGGTGAGCCGCATGTGTCGGCCGACGAATGAGGTGATGACGCTGTACATTAGGCCAAGCAATAAGCGACGGGCCGGGGCGAAACCCCACATGCGCCGCAGACTCCTTTTTCCCTCCTCTGTCAGCCTCTCTGAGCCCGGGCCTGGGGCGGTAGCGTAAGCCTAAGCCCTTCCTCGTCTCTCCACCCAGCTTACTTGAGAGTCCAGAGCTACGCGGCTTTAACAAACCACACCACAAATATCCAGGGTGCTATTTTGAGCCCTGAGATCTCTTCCTATAAGTGACCACCAAATTTCGACTCTGGCAGAACTGGCCCCTGGGAGCCACCCAAGACCCTCGCCCCATGGTGCACACACAGTGGCGCCTCGCGGCAGCAGTGTGCGGAAAGCCGGCTGTCCTCTCTCGCCCTTCCCTGGACCCCGCACTCTCTTCTGCTGCCATCACCTGCTTCGGGATCCATTGGGATTTCTCTCTCTTCGGGGTGGCGCTGCTCCCACACACAAGGTTCTTCCCTGGGCTCAGCCTGGACTGGAGCATCTGGCTTGGGGACTGAGCCCTCCGCGTCTGGAAGTGAGGAGGAGGGAGGGAAAGGCTGAGTGAAGTTGACCAACGCATCCAGCAAGGGGAAGGGAGAACTCTCCCCTACCCCATCTCCCCCTCTCCTCCTGGGTGTCCCTCTTTGGCAGCAGTTATGCGAGTTAGGCGGGTAATCTGAAAACGAGTCGATAGATGCCCAAATTTCTACTGTAGGAAGAGCTGGTCTCTGAAAGCCAACATCAGACCAGCTATGGCTTACCGCGGGCTGCTGGGATGTGGTGCGTGGTGAGGTGCGAATGGTGCTGTTTTACTGTAATCCAACGTGGTAGTGGTGTAACGTTGAGTTCTATGGTAATGGGCCCTGTTACTGGGTTTTAAATTTTTATCCTATTGTAAACTGTTCTATCCTACTAGCATTATAAGCAAATGGTTTCCTGAGTTTCCATTACATAAAAATATGAAACAACCTGCCTAGGCGGTGCTAACGTGGACAAATAAGCATTTCACAACCCTCTGCAGAGATGGCTCACCAAAGAGGAGAGAAGGTGTCCTTACCCAGGGACATGAGGGTTTTGTAGTTCTCCTTAACAAGGTTGTTATAAAGCTCCTTCTGCCATTCGTCCAAGTTCTTCCACTCGTCTTCGGAGAAGTACACAGCAATGTCGACAAAAGTCACTGGAACCTAAGCCAACAAGCGGTTAATCTAGCGCCTCCTGCCTGTTCCTCCCCACCACCTCCCCTTCTCCTGCGGGCCACAAGACCCACTCCCCACCAAAGCCCGGCCTTTGCTCTCCGTGGCTCCCCAGTCCCCACTGTCCATCTCAGTGGAGTCAGTCCTCTCTGTCCCGGACCTTCTCATGCTTTCAATAACACGGATGGTCAACCCTGCCTTTTTAGAAAAAGCATTTAGCCACATCCATTGTTATTTCACTTTTAGGTCAACTGGATACCTGAGGGTAAAGAGTAGTCAATATGCTTCTTTTGGTATTCAGGGTGACAGAGGGGTAATGGGTTCTCAGAGTGGGTATCCGTGAGCCAGGTAGAGTAAAACCTGGTTACCAAACCTGTATTTCAGGTCAGGTCACCTCTGTGCACACAGTTACCTCTTTGTCAGCAAAGCATATAAAATCTAAGGCCTGTGCTAAGGTTCAGGACCTTGGTCCACTTCGTTCACTACCCTATCTTGATCATCAAGGAGCATACAGTAGGGAATCAATAAATACTTGAGTGTGCTGCGCAGCGAGTGCCAACACCAGGAAGCTCCACTGCGGCCCGAGTCGTCGCGTGGTGTCAGTCACTTGTCAGACTGATGACAAGTGTGTTCGGATCTGTTACAGAAAGCCGATTTCAGTTTGCAATCACTCACTTCAGCCACTCACCAGCACGACCTCAACTTGGACCGAATTGTCCAAAATCGTTTCACTTCCATGACTTTGATAACTGAACTTCCTCCTCTGGACACACAGCCTTCCCTCTTACCACTTTCACATTCCGACTGAACCAGCCTTTCACTCTCGGTCTGAAATCCGACCCCTCAATCCTCCCCCATCCTGTGATTACAGTCCATTCATCTACGTATCTGCATTTACAGGGCCAAAGCTGGCTTGTATGGCACCTTGGGGTGAGTTAGAAAAGGCAAAGTCAGGAGCACAGCTACCACTACTCAGCATGGTGAGTGGGCAGCACCTTTATGTAAGTTAGAAATGTCAGCCCTTTTACCAGGTGCTTGTAACTCTGAGAATGCCATGCGCAGGTGCGATGTCTACACCTCAGTGCCATGGCCCCACCCCTACGGACTGACAACTCACTGTCCATCTTTACAATCAGAACTAGAATCTTTAGCTACTGGACCTTCCACCAGATGCAGGAAAAGCCCCAACCTGGGAAAATTAATACAGATCCCTTTCTTCATTTTATTTTTATTTTTATTTATTTATTTTTTGAGACAGAGTCTCGCTGTCGCCCAGACTGGAGTGCAGTGACGCGATACCAGCTCACTGCAACCTCTGCTTCCCGAGTTCAAGTGATTCTCCTGCCTCAGCCTCCCGAGTAGCTGGGATTACAGGCGCTTGCCACCACGCCCGGCTAATTTTTGTATTTTTAGTAGAGACGGGGTTTCGCCATATTGGCCAGGCTGGTCTCAAACTCCTGACCTTGTAATCCACCCACCTCAGCCTCCCAAATTGCTGGGATTACAGGGGTGAGCCACTGCACCTGGCCTCTTCATTTTGTTTTTTATTTTTATTTTTTTGAAACGGAGTCTCGCTCTGTCTCCAGGCTGGAGTGCAGTGGCACAGTCTTGGCTCACTGCAACCTCCGCCTCCCAGTTTCAAGCAATTCCCCTGCCTCAGCCTCCCCAGTAGCTGGGACTATAGGTGTGTGCCACCACGCCTGGCTAATTTTTTTGTTGTTGTTGTTATTTTAGTAGAGACAGGGTTTCACCATGTTAGCCAGGATGGTCTCGATCTCCTGACCCCGTGATCCGCCTGCCTTGGCCTCCCCAAGTGTTGGTATTACAGGCGTGAGCCACCGTGCCCAGCCCCCTTTCTTCATTTTAATTCTCTGTTACTAGAACTCCGCAGATGACATCCACCACCAATTCATACCGCTGTCTCACGGCTGCTTCAGAAGCTTCTTGTTTGTCTCTTGCTGACACCTTGCTATGTTCTCCGGGAGGCTTGTTTCAAACGTTTCATTCTCCCAGACCTTTAAGTGACCTCCCACATCTGTCTGTCTTTGATCTCAGGTAGGCGCCGGCAAGCTCCTTTCTTGCCCCTCTCCTTGCAAATCCAAGGCCGACGGTATGTGCCCTTCACCTCTTCCTCCACCTCCTGCCTGTGAAGCTTAATCTAAGTCATCAGTTTCTCCCTCTCTACTGGCTCCGTCCTTCAGGGTCATTCCAACCTCAGAAAAACCTTCCCTCAACACGCTGCTCCCTCAGGTCACTCTGCCCTCCCCATTCACTGGGAACATCCCAAGAGACACATTCTGTTTTTTCCTCTTCACCATCTATGCATTCTTTACCCCCTTAGATTCTGCCTCTGTACCTTCCATTCTCTGAAACCACACTCTGGAAGATCATCAGCGACCTTCTGTTGAAATCCTCAACAATTCTGACCTCTTCGAAAGGTCAAATCATCTTTCTAGAATTTTATCCTGCTTGGTTCCCGTAATTATGTTGCCTCCCGTCCATCTGGCACGTGTCTTTTTTACTTTTTCCTCTTCCTCCCCCAAGACCACGTGCCTCCCACCAACAGGTACGTGAGTGAGCCATGCCGGAATCAGGCCCTCCAGCCCCAGTCAAACCTTCAGATAACTGCTGCCCCATTCAACAGCTTGACTGTAACCTCATGGGACTCTGAGCCAGACCCACTCACCTAAGCTGCTCCCCAGTTCCTGACCCACAGAAATGGTGAGATGATAAATAATTATTTTTTAGGCTGGGCTGCTACATTTTGAGGTAATCTGTTATACAGCAATAGGTAACTAACACAATAATCTACATAGTGTCTTCCCACAAATAAAATTAATTAATCCTCACAACTCCATGAAGTAAGCATATTATCATCTTCGTTTTATTGATAATAACCCTGAAACTCAGAGAAACCAGCTGGGAATTTACTGAATTGTTTATACTTCACTTCCTTCAAAAGAGGAATTAAGGAGGCTCAGAAACAACAAAAAATACATTTGACCAATGATAGGAAAATCAGTACAAGCAGGCCTCATGCAGTGGCTCAAGCCTATAATCCCAGCACTTTGGGAAGCCAAGGCAGGAAGACTGCTTGAGCCCAGAAGTTCAAGACCAGCCTCGGCAACAAAGCAAGACCCTGTCACTACAAAGAATAAAAATAAATAAAAAACTTAACTGGGTGTGGTGGCATGTGCCTATAGTCCTAATTAATTGAGAGACTGAGGTGGAAGGATTGCTTGAGCCCAGGAGTTCAAAGCTGCATGAGCTATGATTGTATAACTGTACTCCAGCCTGGATGACAATGTGAGACCGTCCCAAAAAAACAAAAAACCAGTAAGTGGCAAAGTCAGGATTTAAACCCAAGTCCTCTGATTCCAGACCCCAAAACCATTTCATTATTCTGTAAGAGCCCTTGTCAAGTCAAGTCTCCTCTAATGCCTAATGCAGCGCACAGAACACGCCACAGTGCCACACAAGGATATGCGCTGAGACACACAGAACAGACAAAAGAAAAGGGCAGTGTGTACGTAAATGCTGATTGTGCTAGACAAGCGACATATGCAAAACCATACTAAAAACCAGCCTCTGTGGCTGCAGTGCCAGGAAATGTTTTGCTGAGGAACCAGAGCCACGATTACAACTCAGTTCTGTGAAGCCTCAATGAGTAACGTCAAACAACTCCTCTGGCAAAGTCATTGGGGTGGTTGCCTCAGCAGACACAGAGACACACAAGACCCAGTCCCTGCCAGGAAGCTGTTAGCTCTCCAGCTGGAGAGAGGCACTCCACAAACATTTTTTGCATACCAGTCTAAGCCAGGTACCATTCCAGGCACAGGGATGCAGCAGGCAACCAAGCAGAATTTACACTCTGGTTGGGGAAAACCAACCAAGAAGACAAAAAAAGCAATACAAAACTTAAGAATAATATCATAAGGCCAGGTGCAGTGGTTCACGCCTGTAATCCCAGCACTTTGGGAGGCTGAGGCGGATGGATCACTTGAGGTCAGGAGTTTGAGACCAGCCTGGACAACATGGTGAAACCCTGTCTCTACTAAAAAATACAAAAATTAGGCCAGGCGCGGTGGCTCACACCTGTAATCCCAGCACTCTGGGAAGCCAAGGCGGGCAGATCACGAGGTCAGGAGTTCGAAACCAGCCTGACCAACATAGTGAAACCCCGTCTCTACTAAAAAAAAATAGAAAAATTAGCCGGGCGTGGTGATGTGTGCCTGTAATCCCAGCTACTTGGGAGGCTGAGGCCGGAGAATGGTGTGAACCCGGGAGGCAGAGCTTACAGTGAGCCGAGTTCGCACCACTGCACTCCAGCTTGGGCAATAGAGCAAGACTCCGTCTCAAAAAAAAAAAAGAAAAATTAGCCGGGCATGGTGGCACATGCCTGTTATTCCAGCTACTCGGGAGGCTGAGGCAGGAGAATCGCTTGAACCTGGGAGGCAGAAGTTGCAGTGAGCCGAGATTGTACCACTGCCCTCCAGCCTGGGCAAGACTCTGTCTCAAAAAAAAAAAAAAAAAAAAGAAGCATATCTTAAATATTTAAGATGTCAATGGCAAAAGTGCTTTGTAGAAAATTCGAGTAAGGGCAGGGAGACGAGTGTGCTTGGGGGACGTGGTTCTTTCATATAGGATGGTTGTAGAAGGGCATGCTGATGAAGTGGCACCTCAGCAGACCCTGATGGAAGAGGTGGCGAGGACGGCCATGCAGATATTCAGGGCAGGAGCTTCTCAGTGGAGAGTCCCTGAGCTGGGGGCGCACGTGGTGTGCTGGCAGAACAGCACAGATGGGAGTGAGCAGGAGGGAGTGGATGCAGAGGAGGTCAGAGAGGCAGGGGAAGAGAGCGTGGGCCATAAACAGACATGGGCTTTTATTCTAATCAGATGGGAAGCCATTTGGGAGGTGTTTTTTGGGTTTTTTTTAAGACAGATTCTCACTCTGTCACCCAGGCTGGAGTGCAGTGGTAAGATCTCAGCTCACTGCAGCCTCTGCCTCCCAGGTTCAAGCAATTCTCCTGCCTCAGCCTCCTGAGTAGCTGGGATTACAGGTGCCTGCCACCATGCCCAGCTAATTTTTGTATTTTTAGTAGAGATGGGGTTTCACCATGTTGGCCAGGCTGGTCTTGAACTCCTGATCTCACATGACCCACCTGCCCGGCCTTCCAAAGTGCTGGGATTATGGGCGTGAGCCACCGTGCCCAGCCATTTGGGAGGTTTAAGCAGAGGTGTGATGTGACTGCTTCACATTTTCAAAGGATCACTCTGGCTGCTGTGTTGAGATAGACTGTATGGGTGGGGGGACAAGGATGAAGACAATGAGACCCACCAGGAGGCCATGGCAAAAATCAGATGAAAGACCATGGTGCCTGGGACCAGACGATGGCGATGGGAGTGGAGGTGGTGAGGAGTGGCCAGGTTGTGGATATATTCTGAAGAAAAATCAGGGTATTTACTAATAGATTGGAAGTAGGGTGTGAGAAAGAGAGGAGACAAGTATGACTCCAAGGCTTTGGCCTGAGCACTTGAAAGGATGGAACCATCCGTCATCAACGGAGATGAGGACAACTTCAGGTAGAACAGGTCTCAGGCAGGCGATCCGCAGTTCACTTTGGACATGTTAAATCTAAGATTTACTGACATCCAAATGAATTAATAGGTAGGAATGTGAATCTGGCATTCCAGAAAGAAAGCTGGGCAACATATAGAAAGGGAGCAGGGGAGAGAAAGCATCTATTTGGGAGGTGAGAGCATACAGATTGCTTTTAATAATGTGAGACTAGCTGGGCGTGGTGGCTCACGCCTGTAACCTCAGCACTTTGGGAGGCCCAGGCAGGTGGATCACCTGAGGTCAGGAGTTCGAGACCAGCCTGGCCAACATGGTGAAACCCCGTCTCCCCTAAAAATACAAAAAATTAGGTGGGCATGGTGGCAGATGCCTGTAATCCCACCTACTAGGGCAGCTGAGGCAGGAGAATCACTTGAACCCTGGAGGCAGAGGTTGCAGTGAGCCAAGATCACGTCACTGCACTCCAGTCTGGGCAACAGAGCGGGACTCTGTCTCAAAAAAAATAAATAAATAAATAAATAATAAAGACTGTGAGACGGGATGCAGTCATGAGGGAGGAGAGTAAATAAAGAGCAAAAGGCCAAGACAGAGGTCTGGCCCACTCCATGCATTAGAAAGCTGGCCAAAGGAGGCAAAATTGGCAAACAATGAGACACAGCAGCTGGTGAGGTAGGAAAAGACTCAGCAGAGAGAGGTGTCCCAGAAGCCACGGCAAGGGGTTTCACGGAGAGAGTGGTCACCTACACACAATGCTGCTGACAGGACAGGGAGGATGAAGACTGAGAAGCAACCACTGGCTGTAACACCACGGACATCATTAGTGAGCAAAGGCCTGATCAGAGTGCGTTCCAGAGAGAAAGATCCAGTTACCAATCAACTGGAATACTGAGAATAGAGGAACATGTTAAATGAGACCACAGGGGACGTAATCAGTGGAATCCAGACAGCGAGATGCAAAACAGGACAGGTGGCCCAATTCCTTCCAGATAAACTGAAAGGAAAAATAATAGATGGAAGAGATGCCCGCAGATTAAAAAAGACTTAAGAGACATCTCAAACATAATGTGTGGACATTACTTGAATCCTAATTCAAACTAAAAAAATGTTTTTAAAAATTGAAACAACTGAAAATCTAATCACTGGCTAGACAGTGATCTAGGCTGAAGCTTTTACTATGGTGGTGGTGGTAATAACATTGAGATTATCACTTAAAAAAAAAAGAGTCTTTACCTTTTGAGCTAATACTGACATATTTGCAAAGGAAATGACTAATGTCTGGGGTTTGCTTCAAAATAAAATGGGAGTGGGGAAGTGGGCAGGGATTTAGGTGAAACAAGACTGGCCAAGAGTTAGCAGCTAATGCAGCTGGAATTTGGATACATGGGGACCCATTATACTATTCTGTCTATTTTTATTTGAATATTCTATAATAAAGAGAAGGGGAAAAGGGAGGGAAGGAGAGAAAATGGGGAAGAAAGAATTGGAGACAACAAGTATAGACAACTCTTTCAAGGGGTTCTGCTCTAAAGAGGAGTGGAGAAATGAGGCACCAATGCAGGTAGATGCAGGGCCCAGGGAGGTTTTCTGTTAAAGACGGACAGCAGGACAGAACAGTCACATGCTGGTGGGAATAGCCCAGCAGAGGGGGGAGAGCTGATGACTCAGAGGAGAAAGGAGAGAGACGCTGGGGGTGACCTCCTGGGGTGGGCAGGGGACATCAAGCCACAGGAACAAGGGAAAGCAGAGTCTGTGGCCACCGAGCAGCAGATGGAAGAACAAGCTGGCTGCATGTGGACGCCTCTTCTGGGTGACTCCGTTCTCTCAGTGAACTGAAAAGCAGCATTGAGGATCCGGGAGGAAAGCAGGAGAGGGAACGGAGTAAGATACGGAGTGTGCATTCTGAACTTTAAGAAGGGCCCCCCTGAGATAAGTGACTACGACTTGAAAGCAACTCCAGGCAGCCTGGTTTGAGGTGCGACTCCAGCCACATTCCGGTGAGCATATACCAAGACAGCCAATGACACATGATCGCTGGTAGGTGTCAAGTGGGAAAACCAAGGAGTGAAGAGCTGCAAGAACTTGCAGACAACCAGACAACTCAGAGGGGTCTAGGAACAGCGAGAGCAAAGGCTCCCAGACAGAAATGCAGACTGTGGGGAATGAATGGAGTGAGCCTTGCTGGGGTAGAACGTCCAAGACCAGGTTGTTTCAGTGGAGACAGGCTTTAAGAAGACACTGAAATTGGATAACGGGGAGCCAGAGAAGTTTATGAGAAGGGCTGACAAAATGAAATCAAGAATTTTATGCACCTGTGCTGTTCCTCACCTCTATCCCTGCCCCAGGGACCACCACATACCTTGGGGGCCTCCCCCTTGCTGCCCGGGGGCAGCCGCAGGACCCAGAAGTTCCTGTTGCGCAGCAAGTTCTCCAAGTTCTCCAGCCGCCTCTGCAGCAGCCCGTACTCCTGCAGCAGGGTCCCCAGCACGGCCCACTTGCTCTCCATGTGGTTCCCAAATTCCACGGCCGTCTTTTCACAGTCGGCCAGCTTCTTCTCGGCTGTCCCCGTGCGCCCCTCCAGGTTCAGCAGCTGGCTGGCCTGGGCATCCACCTTCCTCTCCACAGCCTGAATGGCAGCCACCACAGTCCAGAGTGAGATCTCTGCTGTGGGCAACTGGGGCTCTCGCATCATGCGGTCGGGGAAGACAGGTGCCCTATCTGGAAAGGGTGGGAACTGAAAAGGCATTGGCCGCCGGGCGTCCATGTCCCATTCTTGAGCCTGTATGCAGAGGGAGAAAGCGACAACCCAGGATGAGACCTTGTGTGAGCCGGGGAAGTCAGCTGGGAACAGGGGTCAACTAATCAGATGCTACATGTCGTCTTTCTTCTGCCAGGCCCCCGTAACTCAGGATACACTAACACCCCCAGCAACAGCTACCCACTCACCCACCCACCCAACTCAACACTCTCCCATCTCCTGCCTAGGTGAGTCAGGCTGGTCACTGGTTCACCCACATTGACCCTTAGCAAGTTAAGGCTGCAACCCCTGCCTAAAATGTCACAGGCCACTTTCTTTGAATAGACCAACTGATTTCTTCAAGGGCTAGCCTTAATGACGAACTTTGTATTTGCCTAGTGTTTTATGTTTCCAAGAACTTTGATGTAAGTTAGCTGACGCTAATCTTCCCAGCAATCTCTCAGCAGGTTAGGGCAAGAATGATGATCTCTGCCTTAAAGATGATGAAACTGAAGCACAGGGAGGCAGCTGGTCACTCCGCAGCGCCTCCCTGCACTGCCAGCTGGGGCAGCTCTAGATGCTGCAGGTAACAAAAAACACATTCCTGGCCAGGTGCAGTGGCTCACACCTTCCCAGCACTTTGGGAGGCCAAGGCAGGCAGCTCACTTGAGGTCAGGAGTTCAAGACCAGCCTGGCCAACATGGCGAAACCCTGTCTCTACTAAAAACACAAAAATTAGCCGGGTGTGGTGGTGGGCTCCTGTAATCCCAGCTACTTGGGAGGCTGAGGCAGGAGAATCGCTTGAACCTGGGAAGCGGAGGTTGCAGTGAGCCGAGATGGTGCCACTGCACTCCAGCCTGGGCAACAGAGCAAGACTCCGTCTCGGAACAAACAAATAAACAACAAAAAAACCCACCACATTCCTACCAGGGCTGCAGTCAAGGAAAAGACCGGAGAGCCCAAGCTAGGGCAGAAAAGCAGCTTCCCCCCATATACAACTACTGTTTCATAAACATTTTCCAAATTGAAAATAGGTTCACTAAAAAAGGTCACTCATTAGAGGTGAAGAGGGGATGTCCCTCACACCCAAGAGGACCAAGAGAAAGAAAAACTCCTCTGGGACCCCTCCTTGCTTCCTGGGGAAGGGGTGCCCCATGGCCTGGGGACTCCCCCTTTTATCTTCCAGCACAGAGCCCTCACCCCAGAAGGGTAAACTAATTGGTGCAATTGAGAGCTGAGACCTATGGCTAAGGGGGGCTGGTTGAGGCTGGTGACAGTTCACTGGTCATCTGGGACCTGGTGTCAGACTCAGGGCTCACTGGACCACATGGGCTGGCAGCCGACTCTCCTTCACACCTGGGACAGGAAGAGGTGTCATTTTCTGTCCTCCCGATGGCTGCAGAAAAGGCCCTCAGGCTAGGAAAAGGGGAGGCCTGCTGCTTGGGGCGATCTGGGCAGACCAGCCCCACTCTCTGACTCAAGAGCAGCCCTGCTCCGGGGCAGACCTGCTCCGGGACACAGCAGAGTGGAGAGCAGGGCCCTAGGATCGCCAGGCCCTGTAATACCAGTAAGAGGTGCTGGTGTTTCCATCAAAAGCACCCATTCCTCCATCACAGAGGCTCCACTCCGCCCTAGCCCACAGAAGGGGACAGAGTCCACAGTAGAAGTTAAGAAAGTCCCGGGGCCCAGTTTAGTTTTCTCGGGTTTGAAGCCCTAACCCTGAAAATGATCAAACACAACACAGCAGCCCCTGGCTCCCTCGTTAGCACCTGGCTGAGAGCCGCGTGGTGAGCAGAGGGGCCCCTGAGCAGCCCAGCCCCAGGGTGGGCCCAGAGAGTCTTCCCTGGGCAAGCTTTCAGGCCTCTCTGAGGATCCACCTCCCCTGGTTTTATACCCAATTCTGGAGCACCGGTTCTGCCCACGGAGATCATCGATGGAGCCTGAAGAAATGCCTGGTGCTACTCTCACCCGTCAGAGACCCTGAGCTCTGGGACCAGGCAAGGGCTCAGGAGTCTTAAAAGCTGCCCAGGCCATTCCAACATGCGGCCAAGTTTGTCAACCGCAGGAAAGACCCCGAAGTCATCTCTCCATGGCCCCCTCCCTGGATCACACCCGGTGCAGGGGGAGAGTGAATTACTCATTACACTTGGTGAAAGGTGGTAATCAAACATTTAAAAAATATCCCCGTCAAATTGGCCACCGTGTAAACACGAACGAGGCATTCACTTCTGCGGCCGGGCGGAAGCACTGCCCGCGAAGCTCTCCGCCGGCCGGGCGCAAAGGGAGCCCCAAGCCGGGGCTCAGCCACAGGGTCAGAGCTCTGCCAGGTCCCGGAAAGGACGGTCCCGGCCCCCGCCCCGCGGGGCCTCCGCACTTGGGCCCGGCGACCGCTGCTCCGCGCCGCGCGGGCCAGGCCTGCCCTTCCGGGCCTGCGTCGGGCCCGCTCCGTCCTGCCCGCCGCGCAGCCCGGCCGTGCCCCGCCCGCCTCGGGCCTCGCCTGGGCGCGGAAGCTGGGAGGGCGCCGCAAGGCTACCGGAGGACGGCGCGGCCCGGTCCCGCGGCCCAGCCCGCGCCCCGCCCCCACGGCAGCGCGGCCATGGCGCCGGCGGGGTTCTCCCACCTGCATGGGCGGCATTCCCTCGGCCATTTCCCCGCGCAGCGCCGGCTCCTGGTGGCAGACCTCCTCCGGGGGCAGAGCCTGGGCCCAGCTCCAGCTCCCGCTGTCCAGCCCCAGGCCCTGGATGCCCAGCTGCTGAGGCTGCGGCCGTGTTGACACAAACTGCATCCTGGGAGTGCTGTTCCCCGCTCGGGTCGGCCAGGGAGAAGAAGAACGTTTTCCAGGCGCCTTCCCCCTCTCCGGGGCCGGACAGCTCCATCTACAGCCCGTAGGAGCAAACAGTCCCCTTCGGCGGCGCTCCCCGCCCCTTGGCAGCCCGCGCGCCAGCCAATGGCCTCGGAGCTCCTGCCCGCCTGCGGGGACCTACCGGGGCCACTCCCGGACTGGGGTCGCCACCGCCCCAAAACTGAGAGGCGGCGGCCTCGCCCAGGGGTCAGGCCCCCTCAATCTGGGATGGCCGACTTTAAAGGCCCAAACTATGCGAGGACCTGGACTGTGGGCTTGATTACTGTTAATTCTGCAAATGTATTGGGCATCCCGGGAGAAAATAGTGCCTGACCCTTGTGAAAATTTTGCAGGAGTAATTCTGTCTTCAGACACTTTCTTCTGGCCTTCTGCCTTCCCTCACTCCTTTGCAGACTTTACCTCCCACTCCCCTTCTTCCCAATCCAGATTTACCTGGACCCATCCCAGAGCTTTTGCACTGTTATGGATGATAGAGAAGTGATTCATGTTAAGGTGTCAAAAGAGGGCTGAGCTCTTTCTCCCAGGTAAGGTGCAGTGCATTTTAACAGTGGCCTCTTCAAACACCTTGAAATTGGGTTGGGCGTGGTGCCTCACACCTGTAATCTCAGCACTCTGAGAGGCTGAAGCAGGAGAACGACTTGAGCCCAGGAGTTCGAGACCAGACTGAGCAACATATTGACACCCCATCCCTATAAAAAATAAAAATTAGCCGAGCGCGGTGGCTCACATCTGTAATCCCAGCACATTGGGAGGCTGAGGCAGGCGGATCACCTGAGGTCAGGAGTTCGAGACCAGCCTGGCCAACATGGTGAAACCCCGTCTCTACTAAAAATACAAAAAGATTAGCCGGGCGTGGTGGCGTGGGCCTATAATCCTAGCTACTCGGGAGGCTGAGGCAGGAGAATCGCTTCAACCTCCGAAGCGGAGGTTGCAGTGAGCCAAGATCGCGCCAGTGCGCTCCAGCCTGGGCAACAGAGCGAGACTCCATCTCAAAAAATAATAATAAGGCCGGGCGCCGTGGCTCACGCCTGTAATCCCAGCACTTTGGGAGGCCAAGACGGGCGGATCACGAGGTCAGGAGATCGAGACCATCCTGGCTAACACGGTGAAACCCCGTCTCTACTAAAAATACAAAAAAATTAGCCGGGTGTGGTGGCGGCGCCTGTAGTCCCAGCTACTCGGGAGGCTGAGGCAGGAGAATGGCGTGAACCCGGGAGGCGGAGCTTGCAGTGAGCCGAGATCGCGCCACTGCACTCTAGCCTGGGCAACAGAGCAAGACTCCGTCTCAAAAAAAAATAATAATAATAATAATAAAATAAAAAATAAAAATTACCCGGGCATGATGGCTAATGCCTGTACTCCTAGTTACTCAGGAGGCTAAGGCTGTAGGATTGCTTGAACTCAGGAGTTGGAGGTTGCAGTGAGCTGTGATTGTGCCGTTGTGCTCCAGCTTGGGCGGCATAGCAAAGATCCTGTGTCAAATAAATAAATAAATAAACCTTTAAATCGGGCAGTCATGGTGGCTCACACCTGTAATCCCAACACTTTGGAGGCCAAGGCTGAGGCCAGGAGTTCAAGACCAGCCTGGGTGACACAGCGAGATCCCTTCTCTACAAATAAAACCCTTTAAAGGCAGGTCAGTGTCACTTTGAAACATCAGGCCAGGTCAGAGGAGGAGCCAGGGAGAGGCCAGTATAAGCTGATGAAGATGGAGGAGGGGAAAATTCAGTCATTCCAAATGTATTTATTGAACACCTACTGTGTGCCAGGTACTGTTTAGGAAGAGGGTGAGCTTTGCAGTTGCATACACCTGAGTTTAAATCCCAAAATCACCACTCACTAGCTATGACTTTGAGCAACTTATTTAACTTCTCTGAGCCTCATTCTCTTCATATATAAATGAAGAAAATAATGGCAACTCTATTTTAATGTTGTAAAATTAAATGAGAATTGTGCCTGGCACATAGCGAGCATTCTGCAAAGATAGTTACCCCCAAAAGGTGTTTTTGTAATTATTCTCAAAATAGTATTTACTTTGTTTTCCTAAAGGACCAGTCCCTGTCTTGTTAAGGAAGAGATCTCTGAGGCTCATCACCTTGTGTGGAAGCAGACCTGCTAGTACCTTTAAGTTCCACTGCACTTCATAAAATAAAGGACATTATTGGCCTACGTGAGACATGTGCTTAGAAGGCCATATTCAGAAGAACAGTTACCAAGTACTTTCTCTGCTAGGCACACTTCTAGGATACAGAAATGAGTATTCACAGACTTAAGATTATCCTCAAGGAGCTTATAGGCCAGTAAAGTCCATGCTCCCAGAAGTCAGTGATTTCCTTCCCTGCTTCCTGGCCCTGATTGTAAACATCACGTCCACTTTTATTAGAGGAACCAGGCAAGTTAAGTCTGAAAAGCTCTAGGCAAATTCATTTCCACCAGCGAGCCACATTTCAGAACACGTCTTCTGCACTGTAGATTATCAACTATCTTTTCTCTTTCCTAGAGGTGATAAAGGAAGGACTAGGTTAGTCCCAAACATTTATGCTATCTTTTCTGTATAAAGCCTTTAAAATGACTTCCCTTCCTAAGCACTTAACTAGTTATAACGATGTCCTTTGTTACATAGTAAGACATCGCTGTAGTGTGTCTACTTCACATTTCTCCTTCACAGCGGGTGGATTTTCATGCAGCCATCAACACTATCACCCTTTGTGACCAGAGTAGTTGCTCAGAGCTAGAGGTCCCATTCATTGTTAAGATGATCCCAGTACTTTGGGAAGCCGAGGCGGGCAAATCATGAGGTCAAGAGTTTGAGACCAGCCTGGCCAATATGGTGAAACCCCATCTCTACTAAAAATACAAAACTTAGCCAGGCATGGTGGTGTGCGCCTGTAGTCCCAGCTACTCTGGAGGCTGAGGCAGAAGAGTCGCTTGAGCCCAGGAGGTGGAAGTTGCAGTGAACCGAGATCCTTCCACTGTACTCCAGCCTGGCGACAGAGCAAGACTCGGTCTCAAAAAAAAAAAAAAAGAGATATATGAGCAAAGCTACTCAACTCAAACAATTTAAATGCACAGGCTTCATTGTACTTGCAATATTTTATTTTATTTATTTTTGAGACAGAGTCTCACTCTGTCACCCAGGATGGAATGCAGTGGCTCAATCTCGGCTCACTGCAACCTCCGTCTCCCAAGTTCAAACAATTCTCCTGCCTCAGCCTCCCGAGTAGCTGGGATTACAGGCGCTTGCCACCATGCCCAGCTAATTTTTGTATTTTTAGTAGAGGTGGGGTTTCACCATGTTGGCCAGGCTGGTCTCAAACTCTTGACCTCACATGATCCACCCGCCTTGGCCTCCCCAAGTGCTGGGATTACAAGCATGAGCCACCGCACCTGGCCACTAACATTATTTTATAACCACCAAGCCTAGCAACCACAGGCCATAAAAGGCCGTAGTGGATACCAGCAGGAAGGTAGTGAAGGGAGTGATTAAGGAGAACTTCCCAGAAGGAAAACAAGCAGGGAATGAGGAGGAAGCTGCTGTAGCTGCACAGGCTGTGGGCCCCGTTATAGGTCCTCCCATGATCAACGGACTGATGAGACAGAGAGATCCCCAAGAGTGGGAGAGACCCTGCACTGGGAGAAGTGTTCAGTCATAAGACTGGTTTCCGGAAATCACTGGGTGACTAGGAGACAGTTATCTAACGTACCGAGGAGCAGAATGAGCAACTGGATAAAGTGGATTATAAATGCCATGTATCACGGTTAACACACGTTTCTTGTTAGGGAAGGACCCAGGCCTGGCCCCTCAGTCTCTCAGGTGGGAACTGACTGCTTTTCATCCCCTCCCCTAGGAATTTTATTGTTACTGCTCTGGACAGGATATTTGAAGTGATAGATGCTGAACTAAAGAATACAGGAGAGGCCGGGCGCGGTGGCTCACGCCTGTAATCCCAGCACTTTGGGAGGCCGAGGTGCGCAGATCACGAGGTCAGGAGATCGAGACCATCCTGGCTAACACGGTGAAACCCCATCTCTACTAAAAATGCAAAAAAATTAGCCGGGCGTGGTGGCGGGCGCCTGTAGTCTCAGCTACTCGGGAGGCTGAGGCAGGAGAATGGCGTGAACCCGGGAGGCGGAGCTTGCAGTGAGCCGAGATCGCACCACTGCACTCCAGCCTGGCGACAGAGTGAGACTCCATCTCAAAAAAAAAAAAAAAAAAAAAAAAAAAAAAGGTATACTTCCGTTTGCGGCGCGGCTTCTTTCTTTCCGTGCCGATAGCGCTCACGCAAGCATGGTTAACGTCCCTAAAACCCGACGGACTTTCTGTAAGAAGTGTGGCAAGCACCAACCCCATAAAGTGACACAGTACAAGAAGGGCAAGGATTCTCTGCATGCCCAGGGAAAGCGGCGTTATGACAGGAAGCAGAGTGGCTATGGTGGGCAAACTAAGCCGATTTTCCGGAAAAAGGGCCAAGTGATCCAGTTCTAAGTGTCATCTTTTATTATGAATACAATAAAATCTTGAGTTTATGTTCACTTCAAAAAAAAAAAATACAGGAGAGGCCAATGGAGAGGGGATGCATCAACGCCAGAACATTTATGTCTACTATTTCCTAAAGATTTCTGGTGCTCTGCGTCTTTCCAACAACTGCAATAAAGCTTTATTTGAGGAAGAAAACCTCTAGATTCACTGTTAGTTAAGTGAAGAGGGTAACCAAATTTGCACTCCTATCTTGGTTTTTTGCCCCATACCTAATTTAATGAGCAGGCTACGAAGTACAATGTGGTCACCGGGATAGGGAAAGGAAGGCAGCTCAGCTTCTCAGGCTTCCTCCACCACTGGCATGTCCCTGGTCACAGCTTTCCACCTTCATTTTAGGACACTGTGCCTAGTTATGCCAAACTCCAAGGAAGAGTAACTCTTTTTTTTTGGAGACAGAGTCTTGCTGTGTCACCCAATCACTGCAACCTCCGCCTCCCGGGTTCAAGCTATTCTCCTGCCTCAGCCTCCCGAGTAGCTGGGACTACAGGCACGTGCCACCATACTCAGCCAATTTTTTTGTATTTTAGTAGAGACGGAGTTTCACCATGTTGCCCAGGCTGGTCTCGACTCCTGAACTCAGGCAATCTGCCTGCCTTGGCCTCCCAAAGTGCTGGGGTTACAGGCATGAACCACTGCATTGGACCAAGCAACAATTTAGGTTACAATACAAGTGACAGCCTCAGTGTGATAAAAAAAATCAGAGGCAGGGCTTTATGGAGGGGATGGGCACTAGGAGTAAGGTGACAAAGCTCCCAGACCACTTAAAGGGGCAGAAAGTATTAATGTGGGGTTGGGGGAGAAATACAGTCAAATATTTTGTATTATAAAGTTTTAGGGCAATTTGCTCTAGCAAAGGCATTTTTTTAATATCTCTGCCCTTTACAGACCCTCCTTTTGGCAACATTTTATTTCAAACTTAAACACCCAAACACATACATGTTCTCCTTCTCTTATTTCTGAAAATTTTTGCTTTATACATATGCAATGTTTGGAGAAAATACTTTTTTCCTCTTGAGTTCATTCTCAGTCTCCTTCAAATAAGCATTTCATTACCTTTACAAGTTTTGACACTGTAGATGAGTAAAGTTCACTGGCTTCTCATCAGTTCTTAGTGACTCCATGGTATCTCTCCACTGCTCAGGTAACTGAGTATGCTACTAACATACTAACACAACAGACACCTAGGGCTTAGAAACTCTTTATGCAGATGACAGGTTTTATGTTGGTAATTGCTATATGTTCTCTTGAATCTCCTCAGTAGACAACCTTTCGATTTCAACTTTTTTTTTTTTTTTTTCCTTGAGACTGAGTCTGGCTCTGTTGCCCAGGCTGGAGTGCAGTGGTGCGATCTCCTCACTGCAACTTCTGCCTCCTGGGTTCAAGTGATTCTCCTGCCTCAGCCTCCCAAGTAGCTGGGATTACAGGCATGCGCCGCCATCCCCGGCTAATTTTTGTATTTTTAGTAGAGACGGGGTTTCACCATGTTGGCCAGGCTAGTCTCGAACTCCTGACCTCAAGTGATCCACCTCAGCCTCTCAAAGTGCTGGGATTACAGGCATGAGCCACCGCATCCAGCAACCTTTCAAGTGCAGATTTGATTACTACTAATGGCCGAAATTCATGTAAAATAAAGTCTAGTGCTTATACAGAAACATCCTAGTTCTTCCAAATTCAAAAATAAGGCATTAAAACCAAGTGTTGGCCGGGCGCGGTGACTCAAGCCTGTAATCCCAACACTTTGGGAGGCTGAGGCAGGCGGATCACCAGGTCAGGAGATAGAGACCATCCTGGCTAACACAGTGAAACCACGTCTGTCTTTACTAAAAATACAAATAAATAAAATAAAATAAAATAAATAGCCAGGCGCCTGTAGTCCCAGCTACTCCGGAGGCTGAGGCAGAGAATGACGCAAACCCGAAAGGCGGAGCTTGCAGTGAGCCAAGATCGCGCCAGTGCACTCCAGCCTGGTCCACAGAGTGAGACTCCGTCTCAAAACAAAAAAAACGACAATAACAAAAAAAAAATGTGTTATTGTTAAATCCAAGTTGGTAAGGATGTCACTAAAGTCTCTTCTTGTTCTTCACTAAACTGCTCTTATAAGGAGGCACTAGCCTCACCATTCTGGAAGTTAGTTAGGTATACAGCATAGGCATAGGGTACCAGTCTCATCTGTGCTCCCCCAGTCCCGCCAACTTTTTTTAATCACAGGCTCTGGACACAGCTCTGCAGCCTGAAGTGAATGCTGCTTTTCCCACTGACTCTAGAGCTCCTAACTATTGAGGTCAGAACTTTTTCAACCACCATTCCCATAGCTTTATATCCTTCTGAGTCCTGCTTCTAGAATCAAATTATGACTTCCCATTGTGGATTCAAAGACCCTTTATTAATCTCCAATCCACAGCTCCCTGCTCCAGTAAAGCAGGCTAAGTAGCCATTTCCAGTCCAATAATTCACTTTCTCTGATCTTCTGTACCTTGCAGGCACATTAAAACCACTTGGGGGAACTCTAAAAAACAAAACATCCAGGTCTTATCGCACACCAATTAAATCATACCATGGCGGGCCTTGGCATAAATATTTTTTTAAGCTCCCCAGGTTATTGTAAAGTTCAGCCAAAAACAACTAGTGCAACAGAATCTTCCTCCTACTCCTCATCTCCTTGTCTCAGCCCCACAAGATCATCTGGAAAAATAAACACCCTAAATGACTACTTTCTTGGCTAATAACATAAATATGATTGGTGTAATTATTCTTGTTTTTATCCTGCTCTTTAATCACTAAGGGTGGCTTGTAGGTATTGTCTTATACAATTTTTTAAAATTATGAACTCAAGGCCAAGAACTGACCTGATGTACACAGATTGATGTACATCCTTAATGTGGAATCCTGCTTGTTTAGTCAACTCTCTCTAGTAACGTGCCTGCCTTCCTGATGTTCTAATTCTTACTATACATACAAGTGGTTATCTTACAAAAGTTGCTGCCAGAGCTAAACACACTATACATGTAAAACTAATTTTTTGGCATTACATTTTTTCATCTCTGTCCATACTTCCACTTCTCCCATTGCTCCCCAAATTGCAATATTGGGCTAGCTTCTCCTCATCATAGGCAAGCAAATTGGAAACAAACTACTGCTTTTTTTTTTTTTTTTTTTTTGCGACAAGGTCTCACTCTGTCACCCAGGCTGGAGTGCAGTGGCGCAATCATGGCTCACTGCAGCCTCAACCTCCCGGGCTGAAGGGATTCTCCCACCTCAGCCTCCAAGTAGCTGAGACTACAGGCATGTGCCACCACACCCAGCTTTTAAAAAATTTTTTGGTAGAGACGGGGGTCTCACTATGTTGCTCAGGCTGGTCTCAAACTCCTGGGCTCAAGTGATCCTCCTGCCTTGGCCTCCCAAAGTGGTGGGATAACATGAGTGAGCCATCACACCCAGCCTCCGCCCAGTCTTGAATGAAGAGAAACATCAATATGACCCATGATATTGTTTAACTGGTTAACAAAGTAATTCTCCTGCAACTACTATATCAACACTGTCTTCTTATGTTTGACATATAGACTTCAAAGCACTTTAAAATCTTTCCTGCCAGGTGCGGTGGCTCACACCTGTAATCCCACCACTTTGGGAGGCCGAGGAGGGCGGATCACGAGGTCAGGAGTTCAGGACCAGCCTGACCAACACCGTGAAACCCCCTCTCTACTAAAAATACAAAAATTAGCCGGGGGTGGTGGGGGTGTGCACGCCTGTATTCCCAGCTACACAGGAGGCTGAGGCAGGAGAATCGCTTGAACCCCGGAGGCAGAGGTTGCAGTGAGCTGAGATCGCACCACTGCACTCCAGCCTGGGTGACAGAGCAAGACTCCATCTCAAAAAAAAAAAAAAACTTTCCTCATTTGATCTTCACAACACCTTCGTAAACTAGGTATTATCCTCACATTATGAATGAGAAAACTGAAAGCAAGGTTAAAACTCTGGCCTCCTGACTTGTTTTCCAGGACCTTTTTCATGACAATAATCCTTATTCTTACAAAAACATTAAAAATGCTTTACGCGGGCCGGGCGCGGTGGCTCACTCCTGTAATCCCAGCACTTTGGGAGGCCGAGGCGGGCGGATCACCTGAGGTCAGGAATTCAGGACTAGCCTAGCCAACATGGTAAAACCCTGTCTCTACTAAAAATAAAAAATTAGCTGGGTGTGGTGTCGCCTGTAGTCCCAGCTACTCGGGAAGCTGAGGCAGGACAATCTCTTGAACCCAGGAGGCAGAGGTTGCAGTGAGCCGAAACCACGCCACCGCACTCCAGCCTGGGAGACTGCAGTGAGCTGAGATCGTGCCACTGCACTCCAGCCTGGGGGACAGAGTGAGACTCCGTCTCAAAAAAAAAAAAAAAAAAAAAAAAAAAAAACCACTCAGCTGGGCTTGGTGGCTGTAATCCCACTACTTTGGGAGGCCAAGACAAGTGGATTATTTGAGGTCAGGAGATCGGCCTGGCCAACATGGTGAAACCCCATCTCTACTAAAAATACAAAAATTAGCTGGGCATGGTGGCAGGCGCCTGTTATCCCAGCTACTTGGGAGGCTGAGGCAGGAGAATTGCTTGAAGCTGGGAGCCAGAGGTTGCAACGAGCCAAGATTGGGCCACTGCACTCTAGCATGGACAACAGAAAGAGACTCCATCTCAAAAAAAAAAAAAAAAAGGTTTCCACAAAGAGCTTTACGTTACACAAAATTTATAGGGAAAAGCAATCATTGAATTACCCTAGCACCCTAGCAAAAGAATTACTGTTTTCCTATGTTTTGAAAAAGTGAATTAAATATATACTTCATATTTAAAACAAAATGTTATACTTTTGCTAGAACTTTTTCAGTTTGTGTAGCTTTGGAGTTATAATATGGATAGAATGAGACTCTTTAGTCTGTAAAAACGCATACCTCTCCAAGGTGTTTATACTGCTTTGCAGAACAATCACTCAATAGGGCAGAATCTAGGAAGAAACCAGACAAGGGAACAGGACCCAAAAGTAAAATCTTAAATTCTGTAATTTTGTAATTGAAGGGCCTTTTCCCCAATTCTGGCAATCCTACTCCAGAATAAAGGAACTTATATTACCATGTTGTTCAATCTTCACATTAGAGAGAGGAAAATAACATCTTTGTAAATTAGGTAGTTTGCCCCATACAAGTAGAGAATGTTAAGCAAGGACCATCATCCACTTTTTAACTCCTACTTCTGGTGGTCTTCATACTATATGATCATTCATTGAGCAACCATGTGCCTAACAGCATGTGGCATCATGAGGAATACAAAATAATACATGGCCTCTGTTCTTGGGTAGCTTAAGTTTTAGACCAGTTTTAAGATTTTACAGTAAATACTAGCTTTGCTAGTAAACATAAAGCCACATAGCTCAATGAGGTTTTATTATTTTATGGATTTTTTTTTTTGAGATGGAGTTTCACCCTTGTCACCCAGGCTGGTGTACAGTGCCGCAATCTCGGCTCACTGCAACTTCCACCTCCAGGGTTCAAGTGATTCTCCTGCCTCAGACTCCCGAGTAGCTGGAATTACAGGCACCCACCACCACGCCCAACTAATTGTCTTTTTAGCAGAGATGGGGTTTTGCCATGTTGGCCAGGCTGGTCTCAAACTCCTGACCTCAGGTGATCCGCCCGCCTCAGCCTCCCAAAGTGCTGGGATTACAGGCATGAGCCACCATGCCCGGCCTTTATCAAGTATTTTATTTGAAATGTAACCTGGGAATTTTTGAGAGCATTGCAGGACACTGTTTTTGAGGCATCTCTGGGCTGGAATATCTGCCTTCTTTGATGGGAGGATGGTCTCCTTTTTTTTTTTTGAGACAAGAGTCTCGCTCTGTTGCCCAGGCTGGAGTGCAGTGGCGCGATCTAGGCTCACTGCAAGCTCTGCCTCCCGGGTTCACGCCATTCTCCTGCCTCAGCCTCCTGAGTAGCTGAGACTACAGGCGCCCACCACCACACCCGGCTAATTTTTTCTATTTTTTAGTAGAGACGGGGTTTCACAGTGTTAGCCAGGATGGTCTCGATCTCCTGACCTCATGATCCACCCGCCTCGGCCTCCCAAAGTGCTGGGATTACAGGTGTGAGCCACCACACCCGGCCAGGAGGTTGGTCTTAAGGGTAAATTTTTTTTTTTTTTTTTTGAAGAGGCAATTTAATTGACCAAGTTGAGAAAAGTCATTGTGAATGTGTGTATACATGATTGTGGCCAGTTACTCATTTAAAAAGAAACTAAAACAAAGCCAGAAGGAATAACATCCTAGAAAGTGACAAATGACTCCTGCAAGATACATAAACCTAACCTTCTAGATACATACACAGAACCTTCCATATTGTTTTCTGCAAGAAACAATATGCTCTGGCCCATGATACTTCTGCAGAGCAGCCTCCGTTTTTGGCAAATTCACTTCAAATTCAGCCCAGCTTTATGACCCCCCGTCTGGTTGGTCCTGTAAAATCTGATAGCCGATATACTGAACACCTCCTGTGAGCGTCCTGTGTTACATACTACATAGGTTTCCCCTTGAGCCTTAACACCTCTGAGACACAGGTATTATTATCCCTATCCTATAGATAAGGAAACTAAGGCTCAGGATGGTTAAATAATACATCAGTTATCTTACTTACGATGTCAGGACTTGAATCGAGGACTCCAGAGTCCCTGCTCATAACCATTAAGCTGTACTAACATACATGATGTATTGTTGTTAAGGCCCTGCACACTCCCTGCCCCCACCAATTTGATCTAACTTGAGTATCTTTTGCTTGTAAGAGTCTGAAACATTTTAAAACAAAGAACGGACCAGGCACGGTAATCCCAGTACTTTGGGAGGCCAAGGCAGGCAGATCACAAGGTCAGGAGTTCCAGACCAGCCTGACCAACATGGTGAAACTCCATCTCTACTGAAAATACAAAAATTAGCTAGTTGTGGTGGTGTGCACCTGTAATCCCAGTTACTCGGAAGCTGAGGCAGGACAATCACTTGAAGCCAGGAGGCAGAGGTTGCAGTAAGCCGAGATCGTGCCACTGCACTCCAGCCTGGGCCACAGAGCCAGACTCCGTCTCAAAAACCAAAACCAAAACCAAAGAACAGCCTCTGTGTATAAACCCTGTGAGAAATGACTGCTCCTTTGCTACAGATAAAGAACTGGAGCTAGGCCAGGCAAGGAGGCTCACACCTATAATCTCAGCTCTTTGGGAGGCCTTGGCAGGAGGATCACTTGAACTTAGGAGTTCAAGACCAGCCTAAGCAACACAGCAATACAGTGAGACTTCTCTAAAAACAATTTTTCAGCAAAAACAAACAAAAAACCAAGACTAAAGAGAACAGGGTTAGAAATATCAATCAGGTTGCCGGGCGCGGTGGCTCATGCCTGTAATCCCAGCACTTTGGGAGGCCGAGGAGGGTGGATCACAAACTCAGGAGATCGGGACCATCCTGGCTAACACGGTGAAACCCCATCTCTACTAAAAATACAAAAAATTAGCCGGGCGTGGTGGCGGGCGCCTGTAGTCCCAGCTACTCAGGAGGCTGAGGCAGAATGGCGTGAACCCAGGAGGCGGAGTGCAGTGAGCCGAGACCGTGCCACTGCACTCCAGCCTGGGCAACAGAGCAAGACTCCGTCTCAAAAAAAAAAAAAAAAATCAGGCACAAAGAAAGAAAAAAAAAAACATATTTGGTGACATCAGAGGTCCTTGTCCGTAAGAAAATATTTTTGAGAAAGAAAGATGCTTTTGTTCATGGCTACTGAGCTGCCCTCAGGCAGTCACTGAGGATGCTTTTTGTAGTTTAAGAAGCTAAGACATGAGAGGAAGGGCAGGAGTCCTGCCCCTCCTCAGAGAAAATCTGAGCAGAAATTAGGGATTCCCATTCCATTTGGAATGAGGTCCTTTTTTTTTTTTTTTTTTAATATCAACGAGGCTTGTGTGGACTGTTATTACCGAGTAAGTCACAGGGTCTGGTCCTGGTTGAGATAGACATGAACATCACTTCTCAGATATGCTCAAGAGAAGCCCAGCAGAGCCCCACACCTTCCCCGCTAATAGGAAACTTGCACACATTATTAATGAAAAGGGAAGTAGGAGTTTCCAATACTAAATGTTCAGCAGAAAAGGAGCAGGGCCATCTTCTTGCACTTTCTAGACAATCAACCAACTTCCATTTATTTTCACAACTGTGGCTAAACCAGAGGTTCATCCAATGGTGACAATGGAAAACCTAGTAAGCAAAGAGTAAATCTGGTTATAGTCAACACCTGGATCCACTCTAAGGGAATGGTGCTTATGTGTGATAGTGACAGCTTCTTGGTCCAAAAGGCTGACAGATGAAGAGCACGTTTCTGGGGTTTCCCCTTTCCTATCTTGTCTGGTCATGACAAGCAGTTCTCATGTATTTCTTTAACTGAAGTGTTAAATTGCATGGTTTCTCTCAGGAGCACTTGATAGGCCAAGAGTTTCTCCTCCACACTTTCTGTTGGACACCTTATCCTTCCCACTGATCCATTTTACTTACCCACTTTTGAATCTTAAGCAAACACTCTTTGGAACTGGCCTGCAGTTCTAACTGATAGGGGATTGATGAAAGAAAAGAGTAACAGTTGAACTCTCTTTTATTCTTGGGCTGAGGCTTAGTATCGCACCTGCTTCCGTCTCTCTGGGATGGCCTTGCACATCGCCTTTCGTTCCATCTGAGGGCTCTTCCTTCATTCGTATTTGAATTGTGTTCACTTTTTGCCAAAGTTTAGGTCCCTGCTGGCTACACAGTTCCTTTCAGAAGGGACTGCGGGATCTATCTGCAGCCATTTCAATCCACAGGTCTCTTTCACTAATAAGCTGTGTTCTTGGCAAATCTTTGAGTAAAAAAGTATTTAAAGTGTTACCTAGTCCCACATCTCACCTACTTTAGGAGTCCCTCCTCCAGCATACCCTGGCAAATGCTTGAAATCCACTCAGAAAAGGGAACTCAGCACCTAGACAATACTTTGGCTCTTCTCCCTTTTCACTGGGGAAATCAAGGTGCAAACTAGAGCTGAATCTCACATTCAAGTTCCTAGTGGGTTGCCAATGAAGCCAGAACCTTGGCTTTGGGATTCCCAGCACCCCTAAATTTTCCCATGGTATAGGTCCAGATTCTGGCTAGAAAGCTCTTAATCCCAATATGCTAGGGTATTGCCCATCATGTCTTGTTCTGTATTATTGGGCTTTTTCACTGTAAGTTATGACAGCAGACACACATTTCTTGTGTCTCCCATGGTCCCTGGTATTGTGAATGTCATGGAGCAGATGTTTTCTAAGTGTGATTATCCTACAGAGCAACATGTTCAGACATAGCCTTCCCAGAAGCAAAGTTAGCTGGGCTAACACCTTCTTCTAGTGTTGTTATGCATAACTAGAGAGAGTGAAGGATGGGCTAGGTGATGAGCAAAAAAATGGGTCCTTTCCTTATCACTTCATCAAGAAAATATCCTGTCTAAACATTTCCAGACCTTGTTCTAGACCTCAGGAAGAAGCAGAGGAAACAAGAGTATAGGAATAAACCAGTTTCCTGCCCAAGATGTAAGACTTCTGCATTCTGTCTTCTACCTCAGGATTCCAAGTGGGAGTAAAACAACAAATCAAATAAATTTTAGTCAAGTTTCAACAAGAATTTATCTGCTTTGACTTTGCTGTCTTATTTAGCTTTGCCTGGACAGAAGCCAAAGACAGAGACAGAACTTTGGCAGGAAAAGGAATGTATCACAGACTTTTTTTGAATAATTCCTAGAGGCTCACTTTTTTTCCTTTCAACAGCCTCATTGTGCAGATGAAAATTTGAGATCCATAAAGGAAACAGAACTTAGGCCCAGTTGCAAAGCCACTTAGGAGCAGACTCAGATGCTCCCAGGTGATTAAATCACCCCAAGAAAAGAACATGTGGTAGTCAAAGTCCCTAAAAGCAACACAGGCAAGAACAAACTGTTGTCTATGCATGGTGCTTAGCTCTCAGTGATCTAGGAATTTCCTCAATCTGTCCACTGCCAATGGGATACAGCCAGATAGGGTGAACATACACTCTCTCTGATGGCTCAAGGAAGCTGCATTATAACACTGTTATCATCTCACTACTGAGGACCAAGAGTTCACTGGCACTTTCTGAAGCTCCATGCTTCTGGAAAGTGCTGTGATCTTTGTTGCTGATGATTGTCAAGAATATCAGACACCAGGAATGGAGAAGCCAACTTACTGGCTTGGAAAAGATAAGAATTTGATGTGAACGACTCTCAGAACATGGTGTAGGCACAAATTTTAAGCTGTTCTGTCATTGTTAAGCCAGCTATTTCTCTGAGATCTCTAGCTTTTAAAGCTGGGGCTAAGAAAACCGTTTCCAATTTTTTTAACCAGGACCTTGGCAAAGATTTCTGGCAGTTTAAATGGCAATAAGAGCCTGTTTCAAATCAAGCCAGTATAGTTAAGGAATATTCTCCTTAATAATCTTTTAAAGTCAGATTTCTTGTTCAACCAATATTAAACAAAATTTATGTGAATAATTAATCTAAGAAACCTAGGCAGGCAGTCTTGAGTTACCATGTTTCAGGGAAAGACAGCCACAGAGGTGTGTGAACAGATCTTGGCTGGTTTTGAGAGAGGAGGCAGCAACATAAACAGTGGCTTAAGCACTTTCTCCAACAACCATCTTAGCTATCAAAGAACTAATAAAAGGCTTTATAGTTAAACATTCTCATGCCTTATGATGGGCTTCCAGTTTTGGAGGCTCTTCTCATGTATCTGTCTCTACCTAGAGACATAATCTACTATCAACCTGCTGTTCTCTGAGAACAAGAGAACTAGAGGTTAAATCCTGCTTTCCAACCTCTCCGCAATATTCTTGTAACTTCTGCTTTTGTTGTATCTTTGAAAAGATGGACATGCTGGGCTCCTTTCCAGGTCTTTCTGGGTTTCAAAATGTGGTATTCTTGTAAGGGTGTGAAATTCCAAAACACAAGCATGTCTCTAGTCAAGTGTATAGGACCCCAAATTCATTGATGTGCCAGATAATAATTACTGTGGGTGTTGGATGGGGCTCACAGACCTTCTCTTGGATTTTGTGCCCTGCTGTGAGCATATACAAGCATGAAGCCACAGAGATTTGGATTTACAAAACTCCCCCTCCACTCCCTTCCCCATACCACTGGTTGGTCTCTAGACCTTCAGTGTTGACACCCAGGCCAGAAGTTTCAAGCCCAGTTATGAGGGGACCTGGTGGGTTGGGTGGCTGACCTGATGGGTCACTATCACCCCCACAGCCTCCATTGTGGCCTGAACGGAGGTGGTCCTTGAGTGTCTGTTTGTAGCGGAAGCTCCTGCCACAGTAGGAGCAGGGGTAGGGCCGCTCCCCGGTGTGGATGCGCTGGTGTTTCATTAGGTGGTGCTTGCGGATGAAGCTCTTGCCACAGTGAGGACAACTGAAGGGCCGCTCGCCTGTGTGCAGCCGCCGGTGGTTCAGCAGGTGCTCCTTGCGCATGAAGCTCTTACTGCAGTCAGTGCAGGGGTAAGGACGCTCGCCTGTGTGGATCATCTGGTGGCGGATCAGGGCCGAGTGGCCGTTGAAGTCAATGCCACACTGAGGGCAGGAGAAAGGGCGCTCTTGTGCATGACCCCGCTGGTGGAGCAGGAGGCTGATTTTCAAGCTGAAGCTCCTGCCGCACTGGGCACAGCGGAAGGGCCTTTCGCTTGCATGAGCTCTCCGGTGGCTGGTGAGTCGAGCCTGGTCAGCAAAGCGCTTGGGGCAATCAGGACAGGGGAAAGGACGCTCAGTGCTGTTATGGACCCGAAGATGGTAGGTAAGTCTTGATGGGTGAGTAAAAGTCCTGGCACAGTGTGGGCAGGTGGGGGGTGTCTCGCTGGCATGGTCCTGGGAGGTGCTGCTGAGGTCCGCCTGTGGAGTAAAGTGCTTAGGGCACTGGGCACAGGGTAAGGGGTGCTCAGTAGCATGGCTACATTGGTGGGTCAGCAACATGTCTTGGCTGAGATTCTTGCCACAGTGGTGGCATGAGAACACCTGCTCGCCAACTGGAGGTGGGAGGGGATAGCTACCCAACTGAGTAAAAGTCACTTGTCCCTCAGAGGCTTCAGGCAGGTCAGTGGCTGGACGTCCAAAAGGTGTCATGGATGTAGACTGCTGGCTTTTGAAAGCCACATCTGAAAAAGCATCCTTTGCTGCTGCTGGTGGAGAAGAGAAAGGGACTGGAACCTCAGGGCACAACGAGGATCTAGCAAGGCCTTCAGCTTTGATGACAAGCTCTTCATCTGAAAGAAAAGACTCCAGAGTTATACCCATCAATAACTGTCTCACTAGCAACTCTCATGCATTCCTACCCAGCTCTAACAGATCACTCGAAGCTCAGATCAGAAATACAGCAGAAGGCTGCAATAATAACCGAGACATCTGTGGTCTCTGTGGCAAATCATCAGAGAAATGAAATGACACTTTAAATTTATTTTATGACAGGATCACATTCTGTTGCCCACGATGGAGTACAGTGGCGTGACCTCAGCTCACTGCAGCCTCCACTACCTGGGTTCAAGTGATTCTCCTGCCTTAGCCTCCTGAGTAGCTGGGATTACAGGCATGCACTACCGTGCTCAGGTAATTTTTTTTTTTTGAGACGGAGTCTCGCTCTGTCGCCCAGGCTGGAGTGCAGTGGCACAAACTCGGCTCAATGCAAGCTCCGCCTCCCGGGTTCACGCCATTCTCCTGCCTCAGCCTCCCGAGTAGCTGGGACTACAGGCACCCGCCACTACGCCCAACTAATTTTTTTGTCTTTTTAGTAGAGACAGGGTTTCACTGTGTTAGCCAGGATGGTCTCGATCTCCTGACCTCATGGTCCACCCACCTCGGCCTCCCAAAGTGCTGGGATTACAGGCATGAGCCACCGCGTCCAGCTGTGCTCAGGTAATTTTTATATTTTTAGTAGAGATGGGGTTTTGCCATATTGACCAGGGGTCTCGAACTCCTGGTGTCAAGTAATCCACCTGCCTCAGCCTCCCAAAGTGCTGGGATTACAGGCATGAGCCACCACACCCAGCCCTCATCAGAAAATTTAACACTGTACCTCTTCTATGCTATCTGTTAAGAAACAGAAAATCCTTGGCATCAATCTTCCCAACGTTACTTTCACTATATTTTACCTCTACTCAAGAACTTTCTCTATTGCCTGTTGTGACAAAGCCTAAAATCACATAATTATCTATTCCTATTTCTCTGTATTCTATCAGATCAACCCATCACTGTGGTCAGCTGTCTCTTTACTTCCCCTGAGAACAGAGTATACATTTCTGCTATGCATCTTGACTTACTCTGTCCTCCCTTTTGTAGAATGCTACCCCTCTCTCCCCATCTTTCCAAATTATACCCAGCCATATCATACCAATCTTTTAAGGTACAATTGTGGCTTTATGCCCTTCTTTAGGTCTTATCTAAATACCTAAACTAAAACTGATGCATATTTTCCTTTTTTTTAGAGACAGGGTCTCCCTATGTTACCCAGGCTGGTCTTGAACTCCTGGGCTCGAGTGATCCACCTGCCTCAACCTCCTCCCAAAATGCTGGGCTTACAGGCACGAGTCACCAAGCCAAACCTGATGCATGTTCCTGAAACTTCTCATTCATTTATATAAGTCGTCCACCCCACTCATCCTTGACACTTAACAGGCTTGCCTAGTACTGATATGTATGTCCCTAGCATAAGTTTTTTCAAGAGCTAAAACTATCTTATGTTTCATTTGTGTTTCCCAGTCTAAAAGAACACAGAGCACAGAAAATACTAAAAAAAAAACAGAATGCATTAAGCTGTATAAATGACTGGGACCCTTCTGATCTTGAGATTCTCTTCTACAATACAAATGGCAAAAGTATCTTAGAAGGAAGATACTTATATTTCTTCTCCCATCATTGATTTTCCTTTCACTGAGGGAGGGCTCTTAATTAACATTCCCATTTACACCTCTCCATGGCCATTTCTGTCTCCAGGGCTTGTCTCCCCACCCCACTCCCACGTTTTCTACCCTTTCTACATGATTTTCAAATCGTCTTCTGTCTTTCCCCATCCCCATAATTTTGGTTCGTCTGTATGCACTTGTTTTTCTTCTTCTGACAATTCTCATTTGTCTTTGCATGTAAGAGTGTATTTTCTCACTCACTTCAAATTTATCTTAGTGACTGTTTGGTTTCATTCATAATGTTGAGCATGGCTTTTTCTTTCCCTCATTCTTCTCCCACATATTTGCCTCTACAAATTTCACCTGCTGTTTCTTCAGTCAGTCCTGGCATGAGCTGGATATGGACATGAACACCTCTTTAATTTCATACTCACCAGCATAAGTGCTTTTGTACACGTCACTCTCCTTGGACTCCGGTGGGGCCCCAACCTGAGGCTCTTCTTCTTGTTTAATCCAAGACAGAATATCTGATGTTGAAATACCAGGCTCTAATTTGTGGGAGGAAAAAAAAATGGCCTTCATGAACTTGAATAAGAAGGTAAGATAATCAAGTTGGTTTGCTGAACACTATATTTTGCCCCAAATATTTTTCCTTTCTTTTTTTCTTTTTTTGAGACAGAGTCTCGCTCTGTCACCCAGGCTGGAGTGCAGTGGCACGATGGCTCACTGCAAGCTCCGCCTCCCAGGTTCAAGCCATTCTCCCCGCTGCCTCAGCCTCCCGAGTAGCTGGGACTACAGGCGCCTGCCACCACGCCCAGCTAAGTTTTTTTTAAATTTTTTTGTTTTTAGTAGAGATGGGGTTTCACCGTGTTAGCCAGGATGGTCTCGATCTCCTGACCTCATGATCCGCCCACCTTGGCCTCCCAAAGTGCTGGGATTACAGGCTTGAGCCACCGCGCCCGGCCCCAAATATTTATTTCTAAATAACTATAACAATAACACAGAACCAGCCTTTTAAAAAATGCATACAGGATGGGTGTGGTAACTCACGCGTGTAAGCCCAGAACTTTGGGAGGCCGAGGCAAGTGGATCATTTGAGGTCAAGAGTTCAAGATGAGCCTGACCAACGTGGCAAAACCCTGTCTCTACTAAAAATAAAAAAAATTAGTCAGGCGTGGTGGCAGGCGCCTGTAATCCCAGCTACTCAGGAGACTGAGGCAAGAGAATTGCTTGAACCTGGGAGGCAGCGGCTGCAGTGAGCCGAGATCGCACCATTGCACTCCAGCCTGGGCAACAAGAGCAAAAAAACTCCATTTCAAAACAAACAAACAAACAAAAAACAAATCAACTTCCAGAATTACAAAGTTAGTTCAGTATAGACACAGAATCCAACTCCCTAGAAACACACTTTTCAGATTCCCAATTCTGGGCTCTTTCTATGAGATATATTATCTTTGTCTATTAAATGATACAAGTCATTGTTTCCTAAATGCTGGGAGGGGGAAGAATATAGTATTGGCAAGTCCTTCAGGTCTTGGGGGTTCTTTCTGAAAGAAAAAGTGCACAGCCAATATCGGCTTTGCACACAACATGCCTCATCTGATCAGTACCAAAACAGCTGTGCTAGCTATTACAACCTAGGCCTATATGGCTTTATTATTTTTTTTTTTTTGGACTAAATGGACAAGTTGGCAAGCTGACAAGAGAGCTTGTCAAGCTCCAGAGAGTCCCCTGAAGCTCTCTATAGTTATTTCTCAAACACAGCCTTGTGGGCAGAATATGGTTTAATTCACAGCAAATTAACAGAACTGACTACTTTACCCAATGTCTTCTAAATCAGTTAGACGCCACTGAAATCTAAAGGTGTTCTCAAAGCAGAAATAAGAGGCTGGGGTAAGACGAAAGCCCAAACGACCATCGGTTATGGGGAGCGATTTGGGAAATAGATTTTAGCATATGCAACAGTTGCCTTGCCAACCTCCTGTTCTGACCTAAAAGAAAAGCTGAAGTGTATTAAACATAGTCCAATCTTATCTTTGTTCTCTTCCAGATGTTATACACATACATATCTATAAGGAAAAAGGCAGAGGGGGGGAAAGACTGGATATAAGGAAGAAAACCTCTGAACCGATATCCAGAGGATTAACTTTCCATTCAAAACATCTGACTTTTGTTTGTTTGTTTGTTTTTGAGACAGGGTCTCACTCTATCACCCAGGCTGGACTACAGTGGCGTAATCTTGGCTTACTGCAATCTCTGCCTCCCAGGCTCAAGCTATTATTCCACCTCGGTCTCCCTAGTAGCTGGGACCACAGGTGTGTGCCACCATGCCCAGCTAATTTTTTGTATTTTTGGTAAAGATGGGGTCTCACTATGTTGCTTAGGCTGTTCTTCAACTCCTGAGCTCAGGTGACCCACCTGCCTCAACCTCCCAAAGTGCTGGGATTATAGGCATGACCCACCATGCCTAGCCAAAAAACCTGACTTTTAAAACACTTACCTGCTTGTTTTTAAAAATTTTCTGAATGGGCTGGGCACAGTGGCTCACGCTCATAATCCCAGCACTTTGGGAGGCTGAGGTGGGCAGGTCACGAGGTCAGGAGTTCAAGACCACCCTGACCAACATGGTAAAACCCTGTCTCTACTAAAAATACAAAAATTAGTTGGCTGTGGTGGCACGCGCCTAGCTACAATTACTTGAGGAAGGGGGCTACACTAAACAACAAATTTTCATGTATGAGAAACAACTTTCTATTGGAAGAATATGTCATCTGGGACTTTCATAACTAGAGAGAAGTCAATGTCTGGCTTCAAAGGACAAGCTGACTCTCTTGTTACAGGCTGATGCAGCTGGTGACTTGAACCCGGTGTTCATTTTAGTATTCTGAAAACCCTAGGGCTCTTAAGAATTATGCTACATCAGGCCGGGCATGGTGGGTCACGCCTGTAATCCTAGCACTTTGGGAGGCCAAGGCGGGCGGATCACCTGAGGTCAGGAGTTTGAGACCAGTCTGACCAACATGGAGAAACCCTGTCTCTACTAAAAATACAAAATTAGCTGGGCGTGGTGGTGCATGCCTGTATTTCCTAGCTGCCCAGGAGGCTGAGGCAGGAGAATCGCTTGAACCCAGGAGGCGGAGGTTGCGGTGAGCCGAGATAGCGCCATTGCACTCCTGCCTGGGCAACAAGAGCCAAACTGTGTCTCAAAAAAAAAAAAAAAAAAAAAAAAAGAATTATGCTAAATCTACACTGCCTGTGCACTAGAAATGGAACAACAAAGCCTGGATGACAGCACATCTGTTACAGCACGGTTTACAGAATATTTTAAGCCCACTGTTCAGAACTACTGCTCAGAAGAAAAAATTCCTTTCAAAATACTAGTGCTCATTGACAACGCACCTGGTCACCCACAAGCTCTGATGGGGATGAACAAGGAGATGAGTGTTGTTTTCATCCCTGTAAAACAACATCCATTCTACAGCCCCGCAGATCAAGGAGTAATTTTTACTTTGAAGTCTTATTGCATAAGAAATTTATTTCAGCATCAATGCACTCCAGCCTGGGTGACACAGCTAGACTCTGTCTCAAAAAAATAAATAAACATATTTCAGCCAGGCATGGTGGCTCACGCTTGTAATCCCAGAACTTTGGGAGGCCGAGACGGGTGGATCACCTGAGGTCGGGAGTTCGAGATCAACCTGGCCAACATGGCGAAACCCCGTCTCTACTAAAAATACAAAAAAATGAGCCAGGCATGGTGGTAGGCGCCTGTAATCCCAGCTACTCAGGAGGCCGGGGCAAGAGAATTGCTTGAACCTAGGAGTCGGAGGTTGCAGTGAGCCGAGATCGTGCCACTGCACCCCAGTCTGGGCGACAGAGCAGGACTCTGTCTCAAAAAAAAAAAAAAAAAAAAAAAAAAAAATAGAAATTGCCACAGCCACCCCAACCTTTAGCAACCACCACCCGGATTAGTCAGCAGCCATCAATACTGAGGCAAGACCCGCCACTAGCAAAAAGATTATGACTCTGAAGGTTCAGATGATTGTTAGGATTCTTAGCAATATTTTTAAATTAAGGTATGTACATTGTTTTTTTAGACATAATTTATTGCCAACTTAATAGACTGTATAGCATAGTGTAAACTTAACTTTCACATGCACTGGGAAAACAAAAGTTATTGTTACTTGTACTGTGATATTCACTTTATTGCAGTAGTCTGGAACTGAACCCACAATATCCTGGAGATGCCTGTACTTGCCTTTAATGCTGTTTCCATATTAACTAAGTATTTATCACACACTGTGGCCGTAACTTTTGCAGTTTGAGGTGCAACAGTAGCACTAGTACAAATTTCTTTTACTTTCTTCACAGTTTCACAGATAGAAGATTTGTTCTTACCAGAGATCTTGGCAACCTCAGCATGTAACTTCCTTCCTTCCTTATTAAGTCAAGAAATTTCACCTTTTCACATAAAGGAAGCACTTGACGGCTTCTCTGATACATCTGAATTGCCACCATTACTACTTTTGCAGTTTGGGGCAATTATTTATTTTTAAAAAGGGGGGGAGCGCGGGGTACTTAACATAAGCACTGCAATACTGCCACAGTTGACATAGCTTCTAAGTGACTAATGGCCAGGTAGCGTATACAGTGTGGATGCACTGGACAAAGGGATGATTCACGCCCCAGATGAGACAGGGCAGGATAGTGCAAGATTTCATCATACTACTCAGAATGGCAAACTTAAAACTTATAAATTATTTCTGGAATTTTCCATTTAATATTTTCAGATCACAGTTGACGGCAGGTAACAAACTGTGGAAAACGATACCATCAATAAAGGGGGACTACTGTATGTAGTCTCTATGCTGATACAAAACTTCCCCTAAATGATGAGTGGTTGGCTGTACCTAACTGCAGTCACGTACCATGTAACATTTGTATAGTAGTACAAAGGTTTATATTTGTGCTGAATATAAGGACAGTTTTGAGCAAGACACATGGAGTCATGCACTGCATAATGGTGTTTTGGTCAAAAACAGGCCACTGTCGAGCATGGTGGCTCACATCTGTAATCCTAGCACTTTGGAAGGCCAAGGCAGGCAGATCACTTAAGTCC
Organism: Homo sapiens; assembly: GCF_000001405.40. NCBI lineage: Eukaryota > Metazoa > Chordata > Mammalia > Primates > Hominidae > Homo > Homo sapiens. The sequence continues at coordinate 149,171,896 of NC_000007.14, read as the reverse complement.
AGGTGTTTGAGACCACACTGGGCAACATGGCTATACCCCATCTCTATAAAAAAATAAAAAAATTAGCCAGGTGTGGTGGTTTGAGCCTACAGGCTATTTGGGAGGCTGAGGCAGGAGAATCACTTGAACCTGGGAGGCGGAGGTTGCAGTGAGCCAAGATCACACCACTGCACTCCAGCCTGGGCTACAGAGCAAGATTCCATCTCAAAATAAATAAATAATAAAAAGTAAATCCCAGCACTTTGGGAGGCCGAGGCAGGTGGATCATGAGGTCAGAGGCGGGTGGATCATGAGGTCAGGAATTTGAGACCAGCCTGGCCAACATGGTGAAACCTCGTCTCTAATAAAAATGCAAAAATTAGCCGGGCGTGGGGGCGCAGCATGCCTGTGATCCCAGCTACTGGGGAGGCTGAGGCAGGAGAATCACTTGAACCCAGGAGGCAGAAGTTGCAGTGAGCGGAGACTGCGCCACTGCAATCCAGCCTGGGCGACAGGGCAAGACTTCATTTCAAAAAAATAAGTAAAAAAATTTAAAAATAGGAAAAAGTTATAGAAAAAGGGTATAAAGAAAAAATATTTTTGTATATATGTACAATATGTTTTACACTAAGTGTTATTACAAAAGTCAGAAAGTTATAAAATAATAAAAGTATATTACTATATTATAAAGTAGTATTATAAGTATATTACTGTATTATAAAGTAATACAGTAAGCTAAGGTTAATTTATGGTTAAAGAAAAAATTTCTTGGCCAGGCGCGGTGGCTCATGCCTATAATCCCAGCACTTCGGGAGGCCAAGGTAGGTGGATCATGAGGTCAGCAGATCGAGACCATCCTGGTTAACATGGTGAAACCCCATCTCTTCTAAAAAAAAAAAAAAAAAAATTAGCCGGGCGTGGTGGCACGTGCCTGCAGTCCCAGCTACTCAGGAGGCTGAGGCAGGAGAATCACTTGAACCCAGGAGGCTCAAAAAAAAAAAAGAAAAAATGTTTCTATAAATTTAGTGTGGCCTAAGTATACAGTGTTTATAAAGTCTACAGCCTAGTAATGTCCTAGGCCTTCACATTCACTCACTGACTCAGTGAGAACAACTTCCAGTCCTGCAAGCTCCATTCATGGCAAGTGCCCTATAGAGATGTACCATTTTGTATTTTTTTTTTTGAGATGGAGTCTCGCTCTGTTGCCCAGGCTGGAGTGCAGTGGTGTAATCTCGGCTCACTGCAACCTCCGCATCCTGGGTTCAAGCAATTCTCCTGCCTTGGCCTCCCGAGTAGCTGGGACTACAGGCGCCCACCACCATGGCTGGCTAATTTTTTGGATTTTTAGTAGAGACAGGGTTTCACCGTGTCAGCCAGAATGGTCTCTATCTCCTGACCTCATGATCCACCCGCCTTGGCCTCAAAGTGCTGGGATTATAGGCATGAGCCACTGTGCCCAGCTCATTTTGTATCTTTTACACCAGATTTTTGCTGTACCTTTCCTATCTTTACATGTGTTTACAAACACAATTACCATTGTGTTACAATGGCCTACAGTATTCAGGACAATAATATGCTGTACAAGTTTGTAGCCTAGAAGCAATAGGCTATACTATATAGCCTAGGTACATAGAAAGCTACATCATCTAGTTTGTGTGAGTTCACGCTGTGATGTCTGCACAATGACAAAATCAACTAATGATGCATTTCTCAGAAGATATCCCCATTGTTCAGCAGCGCATGATTGTGTTTGTCAAACAGTGTGGTATATGCAGAACACGTGCTTTCCTTCTATGAGTCTGGAATTTGGGTAAGTGCTAGACAGAGGGTATGCATGTGATTAGCCCCCAATAAAAACCTTGGGCACTGAGTCTCTAATGAGCTTTTCTGGTTGTTACAACTCATTACTGGAACAATTAAGCATATCCTATAAGACTCCACTGGGAGAGGACTCTGGGAAGCCTGTCCCTGGTTTCCTGCAGACTTTGTCCCAGGTACCTTTTCCCTTTGCTGATATTACTTTGTATCATTCTAACAAATCTTGCTGTGAGTACAACCATATGGGAATCCTGTGAGTCCTCCTAGCAGATCACGAAATCTGGGAGTGGTCTTTGGGCCCTCCAACAGAGCCAGGAGCATATTTTTTTTTAAGAAAACAAGTACTGAGGTTGGGTGTGGTGGCTCAGGCCTGTAACCCTAGCACCTTGGAAGGCCGAAGCAGGTGAATCACTTGAGTTCACGAGTTCAAAACCAGCCCGGGCAACATGGCAAACCCCCATCTCCACAGAAAATACAAAAATTAGCCAGGCATGGTGGTGTGTGCCTGTAGTCCCAGCTACTTGGGAGGCTGCGATGGGAGGATGGCTTGGGCCCAGGAGGCACAGGCTGCACTGATCTCAGATCATGGCACTGCACTCTGATCATGGCACTGCACTCTAGCCTGGGCAATAGAGCCAGACCTTGTCTTAAAAACAAACAAACAAACGAAAGAAATTGTGAAGCTGACAATTTGATCAACCAACAGAAAATAACAGGCCAGGCACGGTGGCTCATGCCTGTAATCCCAGCAATTTAGGAGGCCGAGGTGGGTGGGTCACCTGAGGTCAGGAGTTCAAGACCGGCCTGGCCAACATGGCAAAACCCCATCGTTACTAAAAATACAAAAATTAGCTGGGCATGGTGGCACATGCCTATAGTCCCAGCTACTCAGGGGGTTGAGGCATGAGCATCTTGAAAACCCATGGTAAAAACAAACTGACAAGATAACAGCAAAATGAAACTTTGATACGTTATCACAAAACCTAATTACTTGTTATCTTTTTCACCCATCCCATAAAATACAATGATATATTCATTTGTACTTGCTGAGGTCTATGACAGATAACTAATAATGTAGACCAAAGAAATATACCCAATAAGAAATCTTTCTGTAGTCAAGTCACTCATCTTTATTGGTGGTATTATTTTAGCCTCATTACTTATATCTGTGATATAAAGATTAGTAAAATGCAACGTGTTACACTGACTAAATGCAATCACCTACACATTCTTAAAAAATAATATGGCCGGGCGTGGTGGCTCACTCCTGTAATCCCAGCACTTTGGGAAGCCAAGGCGGGTGGATCACTTGAAGTCAGGAGTTTAAGACCAGCCTGGCCAACATGGTGAAACCCCATCTCTACTAAAAACACAAAAATTAGCCGGGCGTGGAATCCCAGCTACTCAGGAGGCTGAGGCTGGAGAATCACTTGAGCCTGGAAGGCGGAGGTTGCAGTGAGCCAGGATCACGCCACTGCACTCTAGCCTGGGCGACAGAGTGAGACTCCATCTCAAAATAATAATAATAATAATAAATGTGAGGCAGATGTGTACATTGCTTAAAACTCAATTAAGACTTGAAATTTCATTATATGTAAAATTTACCTGAAAAGAAAAAAACAAATATTGAACTCTAGGTTAATAATATTCATGCTGAACTATTTACAGGAAAATGCATTGATGTCTTCACTGATTTTGAAATACATCAAAAATAGGATAGATGGCTGGGTGCGGTGGCTCATGCCTGTAATCCCAGCACTTTGGTAGGCCAAGGCAGGCAGATCACTTGAGGTCAGGAGTTCGAGACCAGTCTGGCCAACATGCTGAAACCCTGTCTCTACTAAAAATACAAAAATTAGCCAGGCGTGGTGGTGGGCACCTGTAATCCCAGCTACTCAGGAGGCTGAGCCAGAGAATCACTTTAATCCAGGAGGTGGAGGTTGCAGTGAGCCAAGATCGCACCACTGCATTCCAGCCTGGGCGACAGAGTGAGACTCCATCTCCAAAATAAATAAATAAATAATAGACGGATGGCTGGATGGAGTGATGCAGTGATAGATATATGCATGATAAGGAAGGATGGTATAATGTTAGTGGCAGAATTTAGGCGCTGGATATCCAGGTGTTCACTATAAAAATATTTTAACTTTTCTGATTGAAAATTTTCATAATAAAATGTTAGAAAAAAATAAATGTGGCGGTGGCTCAGGCCTGTAATCCCAGCACTTTGGGAGGCCGAGGCGGGTGGATCACGAGGTCAGGAGATCAAGACCATCCTTGCTAACATGGTGAAACCCCATCTCTACTAAAAAATAGAAAAAATTATCCGGACGTGGTGGCGGGCGCCTGTAGTCCCAGCTACTTGGGAACCTGAGGCAGGAGAGTGGCGTGAACCCAGGAGACGGAGCTTGCAGTGAGTCGAGATCGCATGAGCAAGACTCCGTCTCAAAAAAAAAAAAAAAAAAGAAAAGAAAAAGAAAAAAATAACTATATGGGATAGCGGGTGGGTTGTAAGAGAAGTTCATATAATAGAGATGCCCGGAGGATCAACTTTCTGTGTGCTTCTATCCATCAAAGAACAAAAAAGTGTATGAGAATTTTCTGACAGCAAGGTGAGGCATGAGAGAAACAATAAAACTGGACTTTGGTTGGCAGTCTTTCCCACACAATGTTAAGCAGCTGCCAACCAAAAAGTTAGGAAGAGTTCATGATAGCCAGCTTCCCAGACCTGAGAAAATCCATGTTGCCCAGGTGGATGTCATCAGTGTCTACTGGTTCCATGCATCTTAGAGGGACCATGCAGACTCCTAGTCCCTTCAGCACTTATGAAGGGCCATGCTTATATTTGCTCAAGCCAATTTAGTCCAGATGAGCATGACTGCCTCCTTCATCATGTAAGGACATGTTTATTTTATTAAACAGCTAGGTGTCAGTACTTCTGTCAGGAAATGCAACTTGTAACTGTTAGGTGTGTAGTACTGATAGGTGAAGACACTGGACAAGGTGACCTCTAAGCTCCCTTTTATATTTAAATGCCTGATGACACATTCAAAATCTAGTTGCTTTAGCAATGAATGGCTCTAGAAGCCCCTAAGCCCTGCTTAGCTCTGAGCCACCATGTCTGACCAGGAAAGGGAGACAAGAAGTAGGAATCTCTTCTCCCACTTACCTTCACTGGGGTCTGTGGGAATCTCACTTTCCTCTGGCCCTGCCTGGTCCTCTGTATTATGTTCCCCTTCTGGTTGAATCTGAGATAAGACATCAGGTTGATTTATAGCATAATCTAGGAGAGGAAAAAGGAAGAGAGAGTATTACAAAGAGATAAATGAGGATGACAACTAATTGCCATCAAGGCTGAGCTGAAGCTTTGTGGTCACAGTGCCAGGGAATTTCTTTTAGATTTCATATCACTTCTTCCCATCTATCCATCTTCAGCTGTGGATATCTATTCAGGAAAGCAGGCAGTGGAGATGTAATGTGTGGGGAAAGCACATGTGCTAGGTTAGCACTGCTTTCAGAGTGACAGTGTGCCTCAAGGGGGAGAAGTCAAGCTCCTTTCCAAGTGAAGGATACCCATGGAAACCACCAGCTGTCACACCCATAACCCTGAACTTCATTCTCTGTCCTACAATTTGGTAAAAAGAGAGATTATGATTCCTAGTTAGCAAGCATTAATTGGTCATATTTTGGCTTGAAACCAGAATTTGAAGTGTGTGAAGACAGAGTGAGAATGAGGTCACTGGAGGAAAAGGGACTGTTCTGAGCCCTCTTGGAGCTGCTGTCACTTCATTCAAAAGGTGTCAACTCAGCCTCACCCATGGAGATGAGAGACTCGTAGTTGCCCTTCATGATATTCTTGTAAAGTTCCTTTTGCCATTCTTCTAATTTTTCCCACTCTGGAGTGGAAAAGTAGATGGAGACATCATCAAATGCCACAGGCACCTAAAATTACAATCACATGGGTTAGTCCCTTCCATTATAATTCAGTCATTCAATAAATCTCTTTCCAATTAGTTCCTTTTATTTTTTTTACATTTTCAAAGGGTGGTCAATAAATATTCTAAATATCTCTGAAATGGTTTCTTTTAATGCTTCACTTGTCATTAGAAAATCCTAAAATCCTAGTACTCATGCAATACAGCACGAGTCCCTTAAATAAAGCTGGTACCTTTTCTTGAGGCACATTCGAGTATTTTGGTAAGCAGTAATAAAATATCTAAATACCATGTATGTTAAAACTTCAAGCTTTATTGAGTCTTTGATTTCACCTCTTTTAAAATGCCTTTTCTCTAAGAACATCACTCTCCAGGAGATCCAAATTCCTCTATTTGTTTTCTTTGTGTTGTTTCTAGTTCCTCTAGTCTTTTGCCAAGTACAGAGTTCCCTTTGATGCTGTTCATCGTGCACATGAGGAGGAAAGGATAATACCATGGCTGATGACTGAGAGCAAACAGGATTGATTTTGGAGGCATGTTAGGAACCAAAATTAAACTTCAAAATTCATTATGTCTTCTGTGTGTATCCTTTAGTCTTTTCTGAAGCTTTGTACATTCTTCAAATGGAACATTTTGTCTATTTAAAACCCAATTTTCTGTTTCCATTTCTTCTCTACCTGCCTCCAAGATTTACACCTTGTCCTGCCATCTCTTCAATTGTTTTCACGGCAAGATTTCCTGTTTTTCTGGGCAACTGCAGCTCACTGCAATTTCTCTTTAGCTTGACTGTACATTTCCCTGAGATACATTCATGAAGCATATGCTTTTCTTCTAACTGCTGTGTCTGTTCTTTTTCCAATGTCTTTTTGACTTCTAGTTAGACTTTCTCAGCTTGATTTCTTATATTTCAGCATTCCTGTTTTAATGTCTCCATCGTTTCTTTCAGCATTCGGTTCGAACTCTGCAAGTGAGGTAACTTGGATCTGAAAACTACTGATTTACTATTCCAGGTCAAAATTTTCGTTTTTTTCTTCCTCTGCATTTTCTTTCTTTCTTTTCTTTTTTTTTTTTAGAGACAGAGTCTCGCTGTACACCCAGGCTGGAGTGCAGTGGCGCGATCTCGTCTCACTGCAACCTCTGCCTCCCGAGTTCAAGCAATTCTCCTGCCTCAGCCTCCCAAGTAGCCAGGATTACGGGCACCCGCCACCACACACCGCTAATTCTTGTATTTTTAGTAGAAATGGGGTTTCACCACGTTGGTCAGGCTGGTCTCGAGTTCCTGACCTCGTGATCCACCTGCCTCAGCCTCCCAAAGTGCTGGGATTACAGGTGTGAGCCACCGTGCCCGGCCTCCCACAATTTCTTTTCACACTGATGCTTTTCACATTGCTTGCAGACATCATGATCCACTTTCATTTTCTATCTGCTAACTTGTTTTCAAATTCTAGCTTTTCATCCTGTAATGCCAGAAGTCTTTTACAACCTTCTTCCTTGGCATCTGGTGCCTTACATATTAATATATGATCTTTTTTTACTAAGGGCACTTTGTGGTGTTCAATAGCTGGTCTCAGAATTTCATTGTCTGACAGTAAACCATCCAGTTCACTTTGAATCTTTTTCCTTTCCCTTTCTAGCTCACTCTTGCTGCCTCTAGTTTCATGGCTGTTATTTCTAGTATGCTTGAAAGTTTCGTTCTTTGACTTTAGTGCTCAGTGTATTTCTTTCTTTCTCTTTTTTTATTTTTATTTTTATTTTTTTGAGACGGAGTCTTGCTCTGTCACCCAGGCTGGAGTGCAGTGGTGCGATCTTGGCTCACTGAAAGCTCTGCCTCCCGGGTTCACGCCCTTCTCCTGCCTCAGCCTCCCAAGTAGCTGGGACTACAGGCGCCCACCACCACGCCCGGCTAATTTTTTGTATTTTTAGTAGAGATGGGGTTTCACCGTGTTAGCCAGGATGGTCTCGATCTCCTGACCTTGTGATCTGCCCGCCTCGGCCTCCCAAAGTGCTGGGATTACAGGCTCAAGCCACTGCGCCCGGCCCTCTTTCTTTTTTTAAGATGGAGTCTTGCTCCATCACCCAGGCTGGAGTGCAGTGACGCTATCTCGGCTCACTGCAACCTCTGTCTCCTGGGTTCAAGCAATCCTCCTGCCTCAGCCTCCCAAGTAGCTGGGATTACAGGTGCACACCATCACGCCTGGCTCATTTTTGTATTTTTAGTAGACACGGGGTTTCACCATATTGGTCAGGTGGGGCTCGACTCCTGACCTCAAATGATTCACCTACCTCAGCCTCCCAAAGTGCTGGGATTACAGGCGTGAGCCACCGCCACCACTCCCAGCCTGGTCAGGGTATTTCTTTCTTGTTCAGTTTTATGTAATCTTTAATGATTAAAAAGGTACTTTGGCCAGGCGCAGTGGCTCCTAGAACTTTGGAAGGCCAAGGCGGGTGGATCACCCAAGGTCAGCAGTTTGAGGCCAGCCTGACCAACATGGCGAAACCCTGTCTCTACTAAAAACACAAAAATTAGCTGGGCTTGGCCGGGCGCGGTGGCTCACCTGAGGTCGGGAGTTCAAGACCAGCCTGACCAATATGGAGAAACCCCGTCTCTACTAAAAATACAAAATTAGCCAGGGGCGTGGTGGCACAGGCCTGTAGTCCCAACTACCTGGGAGGCTGAGGCAGGAGAATCGCTTGAACTCGGGAGGCGGAGGTTGCGGTGAGCCGAGATCACACCATTGTACTTCAGCCTGCACGACAAGGGCAAAACTCCATCTCAAAAAAAAAAAAAAAAAATTAGCTGGGCATGATGGCGCATGCCTGTAATCCCAGCTACTCAAGAGGCTGAGGCAGGAGAATCGCTTGAACCTGGGAGGCGGAGGTTCCAGTGAGCTGAGATCACGCCACTGCACTCCAGCCTGGGCGACAGGAGTGAAACTCTGTCTGAAAAAAACAAACAAACAAACAAACAAAACAGGTATTTTGTTCATTGTTTGATTGTGGCTCTTTTTCCGAGCATTTAACCTACAGTTTACGTGACATTTTTGGCCTACTGGGACCTGACTGTAACTGCATCTCAGCCAACTGTCACACCTGTATTCTTAGGACGTTTTCTAACTGAGCACCAGAATTCTCTTTTTCAGCCGTTAAATCTGCTACTTCAGCCTCTGAATGAATATATATATATTTTTTGAGACAGACTCTCGCTCTGTTGCCCAGGCTGGAGTGCAATGGCACGATCTCAGCTCACTGCAACCTCCGCCGCCCCCCTCCCCCCACCCAGGGGTTTGCCATGTTGGCCAGGCTAGTCTCAAACTCCTGACCTCAGGCGATCTGCCCACCTCGGCCTCCCAAAGTGCTGGGAGTACAGGCGTGAACCACTGTGCCCAGCCAGCCTATGAATTATTTTAATTTCTGAAACAAATGGACTTTTTCTCAAACAAGTTCCTCTACTCATTTGTTGCCTCTTGTGGGATCAACACTAAGCAGCTGGTTATATAGTTCTACATCTTTCCCCAGTCTTGCAATCTATAATTCAGGCCAGGTGCACTGGCTCATGCCTGTAATCTCAGCACTTTGGGAGGCCAAGGCAGGAGCATCACTTGAGGTTAGGAGTTCGAAACCAGCCTGGACAACATAGTGAGATCCTGTCTGTATAAAGAAATTTAAAAATTAGCCAGCTGTGGGGCCAGGCACAGTGTCTCACACCTGTAATCCCAGCACTTTGAGAGGCCGAGGCGGGCGGATCACGAGGTCAGGAGATCGAGACCATCCTGGCTAACATGGTGAAACCCTGTCTCTACTAAAAATATAAAAAAATTAGCCAGGCGTGGTGGCAGGCGCCTGTAGTCCCAGCTACTCGGGAGGCTGCGGCAGGAGAATGGCGTGAACCCAGGAGGCGAAGGTTACAGTGAGCCGAGACTGCGCCACTGCACTCCAGCCTGGGCGACAGAGCGAGACTCCGACTCAAAAAAAAAAATTAACCAGCTGTGGTAATGCACACCTGTAGTCCCAGCCACTCGGGAGGCTGAGTCAAGAGTCTCACTTGAGCCTTAAGGCTGCAGTGAGCCAAGATAGCACCACTGCACTCCAGCCCAGGCGAGAGCAAGACCCTGTCTTGAAAAATATATAAATAAGTAAAAATAAAAATAAATCTCTAATTCAAATTTTAGAGTTTTTTTCTAAACTACATGTAAATTCTTCTTCCTAGTGTTTCAGATTCTATTTAAGAAATGTATGTTTATAGCAAAGCTTGCAGCTCTATACTTTTCCACTTCTTCATCCCAATTGCAAAAACACTGGAGTTTCTAATTCTTGCTGTATTTGGGCTTTTAACAATTCCCCTTTTTTTTTTTTTTTGGAGTTAATTACCTGCAGCTTCATTTCTTCTAAGTCCTTAGCTTTTCTACTAATTCCCCTCTTAGTTCTTCAAGCAGGAGCTGAAGTTTTTCCTGGTATGTTTGCTTTTCATTTAATAGGCACTTGAGTACTTTTTGCGACTTTATGTACTCATCCTGCCACCTTGTATGCTTGTATGTTAGGCATTCAGAATCTGGTAACTAGTTGTTTTTGGTTTTGGTTTTGTTTTGTTTTGCTTGTTTTTAAGACAGGGTCTCACTCTGTCATCCAAACTGGGGTGCAGTGATGTGATCATTGCTCACTATAGCCTCGACCTCCTGAGCTCAGGTCATCCTCCGATTTCAGCTTCCTGAGTAGCTGGGACGAGTCAGGAAGTGACATGCCACTATGGCGAGTCAATCTTTAGAAACATAATTTTTGTAGGGATGGGTCTGGCTATGTTGCCCAGGCTGGTGTCCTACACCTGGCCTCAAGCAATCCTCCAACCTCAGCCTCCCAAAGCCCTGGAATTACAGGCTTGAGTCACCACACCTGGCCTAAAAACTAGTTTTTGCCTTTCCTCAATATTTTTTGGAAGTCAGGTTGTCAGCCCATTGTCTCTACTAGGAAAGAAAAAAGTTAGGAAAAGATCCTGGTGGCAAGGAGCCAGAGCAAAGAGGAGGAGGGATAGACAGGGTGAGGAGGTGGTGGTGGGACAGGGAGAAGGCAGGGCAAAGAGGAGGAGACACAGTGCCAAAGGGGCGCTGGGGAAATCTGAGGAATCCTGGGAGAGCTCCAAGGGTCAAGAGGGCAGCGTTGGGGAAAGCCCACCTCCTCCTGACAGGCCTCCTTGGGGTGCAGAGCAGAGACACCACCTCAGCCAGCAGCCCGCCCCCACTCTAGCCCCCTCAGTCTAAAAATCTTTACTGTTTACTAAGTGCCTCCTGACTGAGAAAACTATATGGGGTACTGAAAGGATACAGGAAAAATAAGGCACAGACCAATCTCTAGGAGTTCACAATGATTTCAAGAAGAAAGGTGATAATCTAAAGCTGTGAGCTTCTGGAGGGTGGAGGACTCAGAGTTACTCAGAGTTAGATACAAATGCAAAGCATACTTAATTCACACAAGAAAATATTCTGAGTATCCACTACATACAAGGTTTTCCCTAAGCATTGAGATAACTAAAATATGGTTTCTGCCCCAAAGGGGAATATGACTATCTGCAAATGAATGACATGGACAAGACATGGGGCTGGCATGACTCAAAAAGAGATGTGACTTTGGCTAGTCCTAATGGGAATGGAGAAAACATTCAAGTGAAGGAAACTGAAGAGTGCATTCAGAGGAGGACTGTGAATTCTGCCTCACTGGGGTTAAGACTGCATGTAGGGAATGGCCATATGCAGAAGAGAATCCCACTTCCTAGTATAAACTGGTCTATACTCTCAGCTCACTGCAAGCTCCGCTTCCCAGGTTCACACCATTCTCCTGCCTCAGCCTCCCAAGTAGCTGGGACTACAGGCCCCCACCACCACATCTGGCTACTTTTTTGTATTTTTAGTTGAGACCCCCGTGTCAGCCAGGATGGTCTCGATCTCCTGACCTTGTGATCCGCCCGCCTTGGCCTCCCAAAGTGCTGGGATTACAGGCGTGAGTCACCGCGCCTGGCCTAGAAAAGAGGATTTTTTTGGTGTTCCCAACACAAAGAAATGATAAATGCTTCAGGTGATAGATATGCTAATCAGCTAATTATCCTCCTTTTATCATTACACTTTATACAAATGTATCAAAGTTTCACACTGGCTGGGCCCGGTGACTCACACCTGTAGTCCCAGAACTTTGGGAGGCTGAGGAAGAAGGATCACTTGAGGTCAGGAGTTCGAGACAAGCCTGGCCAACATGGGGAAACCCCATCTCTACTAAAAATACAAAAATTAGCCAGGCATGGTGGTGCATGCTTTTAGTCCCAGCTACTCGGGACTGAGACACGAGAATCGCTTGAGCCTGGGAGGTGGAGGCTGAAGTGAGTGGAGACTGTGCCACTGCACTCCATCTTTCTAACAGAGACAGAGTGAGACTCCATCTCAAAAAAAAAAATTTTTTTTTTTTTTGAGGAAAAGTTATTTTGGACCTGGAACTTGGCATTCAAATTTAAGAGCAGAAAAAGAGCATTTTTTTTGAGACGGAGTCTCACTTTGTAGCCCAGGCTGGAGTGCAGTGGTGCGATCTCAGCTCACTGCAACCTCCACCTCCCGGGTTCACGCCATTCTCCTGCCTCAGCCTCCCGGGTAGCTGGGACTACAGGCACCCGCCACCATGCCCGGCTAATTTTTTTTGTATTTTTAGTAGAGACGGGGTTTCACCATGTTAGCCAGATGGTCTCGATCTCTTGACCTCATGATCCACCTGCCTCAGCCTCCCAAAGTACTGGGATTACAGGCGTGAGCCACCGCGCCCAGCCGAAAAAGAGCATTTTCAACAAAGCAAGGACACAAAAGTTTCTCATATTTCAATTTAGTAAATCTTTAATACATTTTGACTAGAATCAAATGCATTTTAATTTCATTAAGAAATATTTAAGAGATGGCCAGGCGCGGTGGCTCACACCTGTAATCCCAGCACTTTGGGAGACCAGGGCAGGTGCATCACTTGAGGTCAGAGTTCCTCTAAAAATTCAAAAATTAACCAGGCGTGGTGGTACACACCTGTAATCTCAGCTACTTGGGAGGCTGAGGCAGGAGAATCGTTTGACCCCGGGAAGTGGAAGTTGCAGTGAGCCGAGATCACGCCACTGCACTGCAGCCTGAGCAAGAGGGAGACTCCATCTCAAAAAAAAAAAATCTTTAAGGGAAATCACATTACTTTATAGATGATTTTAGAGTCTAAGATGGACAGTTTAACTGTTAACCACTTATTCCAGATAAGACAATAATTTTAACTTACCTTTACTATTATTCTTAAAATAAATACTAATTTTCTTTTTTTTTTTTTTTGAAACGGTGTTTCGCTCTGTCACCCAGGCTGGAGTGCAATGGCATGATCTCGGCTCACTGCAACCTCTGCCTCCTGGGTTCAAGCAATTCTCCTGCCTCAGCCTCCCGAGTAGCTGGGATTAGAGGAATGCGCCACCATGCCCAGCTAATTTTGTATTTTCAGTAGAGACAGGGTTTCACCATGTTGGTCAGGCTGGTCTCCAACTCCTGACCTCAGATGATCTGCCTGCCTAGGCCTCCCAAAGTGCTGGGATTACAGGTGTGAGATACCACGCCAGGCCATGAATACTAAATTTAAATTATCCCAAGGAACTTCTGGAGGAGCTCCAGATGCACAAACAAAATGTACTATGGAGAAGGTTCTCTATGAGAAACGGCTCCAATATCCTTCCCAGGTACTTCCTCATCTCCACCCCACTTCACAGAAAAATCTGAAAAAGTTGTTGATCATCTTTCCATTTTTTCTCTTCGCATTCACTCTTCAAAATCTGCTCCATTCAGTCTTCTATCCCACCAGTCCACACAAGCAATTATTGTAAAAGCCACCAGTGACATCTATGCAGACAAATCATACTCAATGTCCTCATCTTTCTAAACCTCCCAGTAACATATTCAACATAAATGACAACTCTCTACTTGGGATGCTTTTTTTTTCTCCTTGGCCCTGTGACACCACATACTTTCCTGTTTGTTTTTTCCTCTACCTCATCAGCCTTTCCTTCTTTTTGATTTTTATTTTTATTCGTTTTTTGGAGACGGAGTCTTGCTCTGTTGCCCAGACTGGAGTGCAATGGCACGATCTCGGCTTACTGCAACCTCCACCTCCTGGGTTCAAGCGATTCTCCTGCCACAGCCTCCCGAGTAGCTACAGGCAGGGACTACAGGCGCCTGCCACCATGAGCCACGGCGCTGGCCCAGCCTTTCCTTCTTAATCTCCTCTGCCGGCTCCTCCTACCACCGGACTTGGTCCTGGACTCTTTTTTTTTTTTTTTTTTTTGAGACAGAGTCTTACTCTGTCGCCAGGCTGGAGTGCAGTGGCACGATCTCGGCTCACTGCGACCTCCGCCTCCCGAGTTCAAGCAATTCTCCTGTCTCAGCCTCCCAAGTAGCTGGGACTACAGGCGAGCGCCACCACGCCCAGCTAATTTTTGTACTTTTAGTAGAGACGGGATTTCACCATGTTGGCCACAATGGTCTCGATCTCTTGACCTCGTGATACGCCTGCCTTGGCCTCCCAAAGTGCTGGGATTACAGGCGTGAGCCACCGCGCCCTGCTGGTCCTGGATTTTCTTTTTTTTTTTTTGAGACGGAGTCTCTGTCGCCCAGGCTGGAGTGCAGTGGCGCCATCTTGGCTCACTGCAAGCTCCGCCTCCCGGGTTCATGCCATTCTCCTGCCTCAGCCTCCCGAGTAGCTGGGACTACAGACGCTCGCCACCACGCCCGGCTAATTTTATATATTTTTTAGTAGAGACGGGGTTTCGCCGTGTTAGCTAGGATGGTCGCGATCTCCTGACCTCGTGATCCGCCCGCCTCGGCCTCCCAAAGTGCTGGGATTACAGGCATTAGCCACCGTGCCCCGCCCTGTCCTGGACTTTCTTAGTCCACTTTTAACGTCTCTCCTGAAAGTATCACAGGCATTTCAAACCTAACATTGTCAAAGGGGAACTCCTAATTTCCTCCCACCCCCAAGGCCACACTTTCCCAAGGTATTCCCCTCAAGGAAACTCCAACACCATCTACCCAGTTCTTCAAGCCGAAAGCCTGAGACAGTAAACCTAACGTGGTTAAGAGCATCTGCTCTGGAGCCAACCTAGTTAAAACACAACTTTGTTATTTATATTAACTATGTGACCTCGGGCAAGTTGGGTTCTTCTGAGACTCATATGCCTTAAAATAAGTAGAACACTTAGAATAGTAAGTTCTAACTAAATTACCACACAGTAAATTTATAATTATTCTTTTTTTTTTTTTTGAAATGGAGTTTCGCTCTTGTTGCCCAGGCTGGAGTTCAGTGGTACAATCTCCCCTCACCGCAATCTCCGCCTTCTGGGTTCAAGCGATTCTCCTGCCTCAGCCTCCCAAGTAGCTGGGATTACGGGTATGCGCCACCAGGCCCAGCTAATTTTTTTGTATATTTAGTAGAGATGGGGTTTCTCCATGTTGGTCAGGCTGGTCTCAAACTCCTCACCTCAGGTGATCCACCTGCCTTGGCCTCCCAAAGTGCTGGGATTACAGGCGTGAGCCACTGCGCCTGGCCTACAATTACTGTTCTTAATGCCTTATTTCCTAATTCCCATCAGTAACTCTTTTTTTTTTTTTTTTTTTTTTTGAGATGGAGTCTCGCCCTGTTGCCTGGTCTGGAGTGCAGTGGCGTGATCTCGGCTCACTGCAACCTCCCCCTCAACTTCAAGCGATTCTCCTGCCTCAGCCTCCCAAGTAGCTGGGATTACAGGTGCCCACCA
Source organism: Homo sapiens (assembly GCF_000001405.40). Classification (NCBI taxonomy): domain Eukaryota; kingdom Metazoa; phylum Chordata; class Mammalia; order Primates; family Hominidae; genus Homo; species Homo sapiens. Next base: position 149,156,371 of record NC_000007.14, on the reverse strand, counting down.
CCACGCTCAGCTAATTTTTTTGTATTTTTAGTAGAGACGGGGTTTCATCATGTTGGCCAGGCTGGTCTCAAACTCCTGACCTCATGATCCGCCCGCCTCAACCTCCCAAAGTGGTGGGATTACAGGCGTGAGCCAATGCACCCTGCCTTCCCATCAGTAACTCTTATTGTCAGTTCTACCACCAAACATCCTGCATCTGTCCACTTCTCTCCATCTCTACAACTGCTACCCTCATCCAAGCCACTTGCATCCCTCCCTGCCTTAGTATTTCCTCCCTTCTTCAGTTCTTCCCCTACGATCCATCCTCCACAAAGCAGCCAAAGGGATTCTTTCAATATATAAAACTGGCCGGGCGCGGTGGCTCATGCCTATAATCCCAGCACTTTGGGAGGCCAAGGCGAGCGGATCACGAGGTCAGGAGATCAAGACCATCCTGGCTAACATGGTGAAACCCCGTCTCTACTAAAAATACAAAAAATTAGCTGGGCATGGTGACGGACGCCTGTAGTCCCAGCTACTCAGGAGGCTGAGGCAGGAGAATGGCGTGAACCCGGGAGGCAGAGCTTGCAGTGAGCCGAGATGGCGCCACTGCACTCCAGCCTGGGCAACAGAGTGAGACTCCATCTCAAAAAAAAAAAAATTAAAAAAAAAAAAAAAAAAAAAATATATATATATATATATATATATAACCAAATATAATTCCTCTGCTTCAAACCCTCCAATTTCTCCTCATTACACCTTAGTTAAAAATCCAAATTCCTTTCCTTGGTCTTAAATGCCCTACACATCAGTGATTCACAACCCTAGTCATATATTAGAATCATCTATGGAGGTTTTTAAAAAATTATTCATGCTTAAGCTCCATCCTGGACCTATTAGGTCAGAATCTGGATGTGATGCTCACCAAAATTTTAAAAGCCTACCAGGTGATTCTTCTTTTTTGTCGTTGTTGGAGACGGAGTCTCACTCTGTTGCCCAGGCTGGAGTGCAGTGGCGCAATCTCAGCTCACTGCAACCTCTGT